>NC_000007.14:87658294-87961324 GCF_000001405.40 Homo sapiens | reverse complement strand
AAGATCTTCCATCACCAATCTTCTTTGGAGCAGTCATCTTGTTATTCATATTTGACCGATATACTCTGGCCTTGGGGTCATTATACTGGTTATTCTCTCTATATATAATGCTCTTCCTAAGATACCTGTATGACTCACTCCTCACATCCTTCAAGTCTTTTCCTAATGTCATTTCTCTGAGGCCTAACGGACTACCCTACTAGAAATTACAACGTATGCCCCCTACACTCCCCTGCACTACCAGTCTCCATTACCATGCTATATTTTTTATTTTCCATAGTACTTATCACCTTTGAACATACCATATAATGTATTACTGCATCATTTACTATATTTTTGTCTATGTGCTAGAACATAAGCCCAGA
Organism: Homo sapiens; assembly: GCF_000001405.40. Taxonomy (NCBI): domain Eukaryota; kingdom Metazoa; phylum Chordata; class Mammalia; order Primates; family Hominidae; genus Homo; species Homo sapiens. The sequence goes on along the minus strand of NC_000007.14, from coordinate 87,960,959 downwards.
AGAAAGAATTTTTTTTATTATTCACTGATGTATCCCAAAGGCACAGAACAGTGCCACATAGTAGGACCTCAATAAATGTTTTTGGAGTGAGTTAAAAGGATGTCAGTTCACAAATCAAATCACAGGAAATTGCAACACACACACAAACTGCATTAGTGTTAGTTACTCAAAACAGCTACTGAGCCTTAACCTGAAATAGAACCAATGGAAAAATTTTAATTGCAGAGCTGGCAAGTTTAAACTTTGTAAGAAAAGGAACAAGAACCAAAGTCTATTAAATATTTGCCAATCCCCTCAGTTCCCTCATTATTCAAAGATAGAATGATAAAAAGAGAAATCAAGAATCTCTAGTTCTAGTGAAAACATACTGCAGAGAAGAGGAGCTATAAAAAGGCATGATTAATAGCTCTAACATAACTGAAATACCCAACTGCACAAGGGCCAGAAGGTTCAGAGAAAAGTATAACTGTTTCTCTTCTTGTCAAGTGAAATATAAGGACGAAGAGTGACCCAATGGCCTTATGGAGATGAGATGCAGAATACTCTACACACACACACACAGACACACACACACACACACACACCCCACTACCACCAGCAGCAACAATACTATCTGCACTTGGAGCTCTCTTCTTCCTGAACACTGAATACTTTCATCAGTGAACATATGATGCTTAAAATGAAAGCATATGGACTTCTTCTAACCTAATTATTTCTTGAAAAAGAGAAATAACACAAACAATTAACTTCAGAATAACAGATTTTGGAAAGACTGTTTAAAACTGTTAGAAATTCAGAAACACATGGTTGATTGATAAGTATTAAAATATTTATTAAATATGGGAATCCACTGCAAGAACATGGAAGTTCTTCAGTTCTTTCCATTGATCTGAAGGCTACATCTAATGCTGGGCCCAGATTAATAAGAAGCTGAAAATTTTAAGATCACAACTACTCTACAATGGTACCAAAAACAGCACAATAATTAAAAGAGAAGAGTCCAAACAGAAAGGAAAAAACAATGAATTCAGAATGACAAACTTTTATTTAAAACTATATTAAAAACCACTGAATTGTATATTCTAAAAGAGTGAATTTTATGGTATATGAATATGTCAATAAAGCTATTGTTTTAAAAACTATATTAAAAATCAGTATTGTTGCCATACATATATTTCAAATGCAAAGTCATCTTAATTTTCACAGAAGACTCAACTTTTTTTATAATAAATGCTACCATCTATAAAATTTTAGAAGCCCTTTCTTCTAGATCACCTGTCTGTTCCTTTTGATTTGCATATTGAAGTATTTCAGGCAAAACATGTTTTTTAAAAAGGAAATTAAAACAGACTATTAAAACGGAGCATCTTGTCCTCTAATCTGGTAGCTATGTTTTTGGAAACACCTGCAGTGAGACCAAAGCTAGATCCAAAACTAGCACCAGAGAGCAAATTGTTCCACCATCCTGGAGACTTTGATACAAATCACAGCTCTTATGAAAACAGAGAAATCCAGCGATTTGCATATATGACACCGAGTATCAGTTTTATACCAAGAAATGATAATTATAGGAGCTTAAAAAAAAAGGAGCTAACATTTATTGAGCTCTTACTATATGCCAAACGCCCAGCTACAGCTTTATGTATATTATCTTTTTTAATCCTCACAACATATGAACTGGGTACTATTCTTATTCACATTGTATTGGTGTAAAAACCCAAGATTAAAGAAGTTAAGTGTTTGCCAAGTTCACACAGTGAGCTAGTGGCAGAGGTGAGCTTTAAATCCATGGAGTCTAATTCTAGGTCCTTTAACATTTAATCACTTTTCTATAATGCTTTTTTTAAAAAAAAAACTACATTTGAGATTTATTTTGTGAAAAATTAAGATATTCTAAAACTATAGTAAATTCCACAGTGATAAAGTAATACACAGACAGACCAAGAATCATTAAGGATCTAAATAGGATAACATAAAAAAATTAAATCTGCTAAACCAAAGATACCATGAGAATGAAAAATAAGCCATAAACTAAAAGATAAATAAATATTTGCTATACAGATAATAGAGAATAATCCAGAATATTTTTAAATGCCAAAAATCGACAAGAAAAAGACAAAAATTTCAATTGAAAAATGGGGAACGCATAATAGGCCAGTCAAAAGAGGAAATACAGATCACCAAAGGTGCTCTACCTCATCAGTCATCAGGAAAATGGAAAGTAAAATAACTAGATACCATCTCATACCCACAATATTGTTAAAAACTTTAAAGTCGGCCGGGCACGGTGGTTCACCCCTGTAATCCCAGCACTTTGGGAGGCCGAAGAGGGCAGATCACAGGGTCAAGAGATTGAGACCATCCTGGCCAACATGGTGAAACCCCATCTCTACTAAAAATACAAAAATTAGCTGGGCATGATGGTGCGTGCCTGTAATCCCAGCTACTCAGGAGGCTGAGGTAGGAGAATCACTTGAACCCGGGAGGCAGAGTTTGCAGTGAGCCGAGATCACGCCATTGCACTCCAGCCTGGGAAACAAGAGCGAAACTCCATCTCAAAAAAAAAATAAAAAATAAAAAAAATTTAAAAAAACTTTAAAGTCTTATGGTTCCAGATAATGATGAAAAGGAGACTATACATAAATTCGCATACAGTGCTAGTGGAGTGTAAATTGCTGTATCACTATTTGATTTGGCAATATACAGGGAAATTGACAGTGTACAAGCCCTAGGAATCAACAATTTCACTTCCAAATATATACTCCATAGAAACTCATGCCAATGTCAAATGTGTATGTCAAATGGTATATACTGCTTATAACAGCGAAACAGAATAAATACGCTATAAATACTACTAATGGGAAAATGAATAAATGATGTTTATAAAATGGGAAGGCAGGCAGCAATAAAAAGAAATGAATTTAATTCTTTTACCTATATCATCATAAGAGATCAAAAAATTTAATTTTGAGGAGGGGTAAAAGGATATATATGCTATAAAAGATAGACATTTAAATACACACAAAACAGTAATATATTGTTATGGATATATATGTATGTATGAAAGTATGAAAACAGACCAGACAGGGTGGCTCATGCCTGTAATCCCAGCCCTTTGGGAGGCCGAGGTGGGCAGATCACCTGAGGTCAGGAGTTTGAGACCACCTGGCTAACATGGTGAAACCCCGTTTCTACTAAAAATACAAAAAATTAGCCAGGCATGGTAGTGCGCACCTGTAATCCCAGCTACTCGGGAGGCTGAGAGGCAGGAGAATTGCTTGAACCCTGGAGGCAGAGGCTGCAGTGAGTCGAGATGGCACCATTGCATTCCAGCTTGGGCAACAAGAGCGAAACTCCATCTCAATAAAAAAAAGAAGAAGAAAAGAAAACAAAGACGGAAAGGATGCACACCAGTTGCAAGACAATGATCTCCTCTGAGAAGGAAGGGGAAAACAGAAGGGCAAGAGAGCATCATCTGAATCTATAACGTTAGTTTCTTGCAAAAGAAACAAACCACACTAAATTTTGTTCATTCTGGGTGGTATGTACAAGGGTGTCCATTACATTATTCTATCTACCATTTTGTATGTTTGAATTATTTCAAAACTTAAGCTTTTTATATTAAACAAACTGAAGAAAGTTTTACAAGCACCCTCACATGGTCAATTTCACTGATACCATAGAACAGCTAAGGGATAAGTAACACAACCATCCAGATGTCCCTAATATTATTGCCAGGAAAACTACAAGAAACAAAAAGTAACAGACAGAACATACAAGGAGGCACATGTTGATTCAACTTTCTAAAATCTTTTTAGCCAGAGATGTCTAAACAAAGGGCTGCCTCACAGGTACTGAGCTTACCTGTGAGGAATCCTGTAGGGTAGTTTTTAAAGTTGTGGGTAAGATCACAGAAAGGACTCTGAAATCACTTGAGTGCACCATAGGCAGGGTTTTAAAGAAAATGAAATAGAACAGAACAGAATGAAATGTATACCACTGTATGTAATAAGAATAAGTAATTTTTACGATACTTTCATGTGTGTGTTTCCACATGTCCACACAAAAATTTTTTACACACATGTTCACGGCACCATTATTTTAAATAGCCAAAGAATGGAAATAACTCAAATGTCCATCAAAATGAATGGATTGATAATGAAACACTACTCACGAATGAAATACTGATACATGCTACAACATGAATGAAACTGGAAAACATTATGATAAGTGAAAAAAGCCAGTCACAAAAGACTGGATAGTGTACGATTCCATTTATATGAAAGCTCAAGAGTAAGTAAATCTGTAGAGACAGAAAGTAGATCAGTGGGTGCCCAGGCTGAGGGTGGGAGGCAGTTAGGGAAAATGGGCATAAGGTTTCTTTTTGAAGTGATGAAAAGGTTTCAAAATTGACAGTGGTGATCGCTGCACAGTTCTCTAAATACACCAAAAACTCAATCGTATACCATTTTTAAATGGGTTAATTCTATACTGTGTGAATTATATCTCAATAAACCTCTTATAAAAATACATATAAGTAAGATAGGAACTATTTTGTTCCTGGGATTACATTAGGTTAGCTAAAGTCACAACAGCTGTATTTGATCTTTATCTTTTAATGTAGGGTCTCCTCTCCACCACAAGTCCTCACTTTTTCATCTGGTCTTAAAGCTACTTTCAGAGGAGGAGCCAAGATGGCCAAATAGGAACAGCTCCGGTCTACAGCTCCCAGCGTGAGTGATGCAGAAGACGGGTGATTTCTGCATTTCCATCTGAGGTACCGGGTTCATCTCACTAGGGAGTGCCAGCCAGTGGGTGCAGGACAGTGGATGCAGCACACTGTGCGCCAGCCGAAGCAGGGTGAGGCATTGCCTCACTCGGGAAGCGCAAGGGGTCAGGGAGTTCCCTTTCCTGGTCAAGGAAAGGGGTGACAGACGGCACGTAGAAAATCGGGCCACTCCCACCCGAATACTGCGCTTTTCCGATGGGCTTAGGAAACGGCGCACCAGGAGATTATATCCCGCACCTGGCTCAGAGGGTCCTACGCCCATGGAGTCTCCCTGATTGCTAGCACAGCAGTCTGAGATCAAACTGCAAGGCAGCAGCGAGGCTGGGGGAGGGGCGCCCACCATTGCCCAGGCTCGCTTAGGTAAACGAAGCAGCCAGGAAGCTCGAACTGGGTGGACCCCACCACAGCTCAAGGAGGCCTGCCTGCCTCTGTAGGCTACACCTCTGGGGGCAGGGCACAAACAAAAAGACAGCAGTAACCTCTGCAGACTTAAATGTCCCTGTCTGACAACTTTGAGGAGAGCAGTGGTTCTCCCAGCACGCAGCTGGAGATCTGAGAACGGGCAGACTGCCTCCTCAAGTGTGACTCCTGACCCCTGAGCAGCCTAACTGGGAGGCACCCCCCAGTAGGGGCAGACTGACACCTCACACGGCCGGGTACTCCTCTGAGACAAAACTTCCAGAGGAACGATCAGACAGCAGCACTTGCGGATCACAAAAATCTGCGGTTCTGCAGACACCGCTGCTGATATCCAGGCAAACAGGGTCTGCAGTGGACCTCTAGCAAACTCCAACAGACCTGCAGCTGAGGGTCCTGTCTGTTAGAAGGAAAACTAACAAACAGAAAGAACATCCACACCAAAAACCCATCTGTACATCACCATCATCAAAGACCAAAAGTAGATAAAACCACAAAAATGGGGAAAAAACAGAGCAGAAAAATGGAAACTCTAAAAAGCAGAGTGCCTCTCCTCCTCCAAAGGAACGCAGTTCCTCACCAGCAACGGAACAAAGCTGGATGGAGAATGACTTTGACGAGTTGAGAGAAGAAGGCTTCAGATGATCAAATTACTCCGAGCTATAGGAGGAAATTCAAATCAAAGGCAAAGAAGTTGAAAACTTTGAAAAAAATTTAGACAAATGTATAACTAGAATAACCAATACAGAGAAGTGCTTAAAGGAGCTGATGGAGCTGAAAGCCAAGGCTCGAGAACTACGTGAAGAATGCAGAAGCCTCAGGAGCCGATGCGATCAACTGGAAGAAAGGGTATCAGTGATGGAAGATGAAATGAATGAAATGAAACAAGTTTAGAGAAAAAAGAATAAAAAGAAATGAGCAAAGCCTCCAAGAAATATGGGACTATGTGAGAAGACCAAATCTGCGTCTGATTGGTGTACCTGAAAGTGATGGGGAGAATGGAACCAAGTTGGAAAACACTCTGCAGGATATTATCCAGGAGAACTTCCCCAATCTAGCAAGGCAGGCCAACATTCAGATTCAGGAAATACAGAGAATGCCACAAAGATACTCCTCGAGAAGAGCAACTCCAAGACACATAATTGTCAGATTCACCAAAGTTGAAATGAAGGAAAAAATGTTAAGGGCAGCAAAAGAGAAAGGTCGGGTTACCCACAAAGGGAAGCCCATCAGACTAACAGCAGATCTCTCAGCAGAAACTCTACAAGCCAGAAGAGAGTGGGGGCCACTATTCAACATTCTTAAAAATAAGAATTTTCAACCCAGAGTTTCATATCCAGCCAAAGTAAGCTTCATAAGTGAAGGAGAAATAAAATACTTTACAGACAAGCAAATGCTGAGAGATTTTGTCACCACCAGGCCTGCCCTAAAAGAGCTCCTAAAGGAAGCACTAAACATGGAAAGGCACAACGGGTACAAGCCACTGCAAAATCATGCCAAAATGTAAAGACCATCGAGACTAGGAAGAAACTGCATCAACTAACGAGCAAAATAACCAGCTAACATCATAATAAAAGGATCAAATTCACACATAACAATATTAACTTTAAATGTAAATGGACTAAATGCTCCAATTAAAAGACACAGACTGGCAAATTGGATAAAGAGTCAAGACCCATCAGTGTGCTGTATTCAGGAAACCCATCTCACGGGCAGAGACACACACAGGCTCAAAATAAAAGGATGGAGGAAGATCTACCAAGCAAATGGAAAACAAAAAAAGGCAGGGGTTGCAATCCTAGTCTCTGATAAAACAGACTTTAAACCAACCAAGATCAAAAGAGACAAAGAAGGCCATTACATAATGGTAAAGGGATCAATTCAACAAGAAGAGCTAACTATCCTAAATATATATGCACCCAAAACAGGAGCACCCAGATTCATAAAGCAAGTCCTTAGTGACCTACAAAGAGACTTAGACTCCCACACAATAATAATGGGAGACTTTAACACCCCACTATCAACATTAGACAGATCAACGAGACAGAAATTTAACAAGGATACCCAGGAATTGAACTCAGCTCTGCAACAAGCGGACCTAATAGACAGCTACAGAACTCTCCACCCCAAATCAACAGAACATACATTCTTTTCAGCACCACACCACACCTATTCCAAAATTGACCACATAGTTGGAAGTAAAGCTCTCCTCAGCAAATGTAAAAGAACAGAAATTGTAACAAACTGTCTCTCAGACCACAGTGCAATCAAACTAGAACTCAGGATTAAGAAACTCACTCAAAACCGCTCAACTACATGGAAACTGAACAACCTGCTCCTGAATGACTACTGGATACATAACGAAATGAAGGCAGAAATAAAGATGTTCTTTGAAACCAACGAGAACAAACACCCAACATACCAGAATCTCTGGGACACATTCAAAGCAGTGTGTAGAGGGAAATTTATAGCACTAAATGCCCACAAGAGAAAGCAGGAAAGATCCAATACTGACACCCTAACATCACAATTAAAAGAACTAGAAAAGCAAGAACAAACACATTCAAAAGCTAGCAGAAGGCAAGAAATAACTAAAATCAGAGCAGAACTAAAGGAAATAGAGACAAAAAAAAAACCCTTCAAAAAAATTAATGAAGCCAGGAGCTGGTTTTTTGAAAGGATCAACAAAATTGATAGACCACTAGCAAGACTAATAAAGAAAAAGAGATGAATCAAATAGATGCAATAAAAAATGATAAAGGGGATATCACCACCAATTCCACAGAAATACAAACTACCATCAGAGAATACTACAAACACCTCTACACAAATAAACTAGAAAATCTAGAAGAAATGGATAAATTCCTCAACACATACACCCTCCCAAGACTAAACCGGGAAGAAGTTGAATCTCTGAATAGACCAATAACAGGATCTGAAATTGTGGCAATAATCAATAGCTTACCAATAAAAAAGAATCCAGGACCAGATGGATTCACAGCCGAATTCTACCAGAGGTACAAGGAGGAACTGGTACCATTCCTTCTGAAACTATTCCAATCAATAGAAAAAGAGGGAATCCTCCCTAACTCATTTTATGAGGCCAGCATCATCCTGATACCAAAGCCAGGCAGAGACACAACCAAAAAAGAGAATTTTAGACCAATATCCTTGATGAACATTGATGCAAAAATCCTCAGTAAAATACTGGCAAACCGAATCCAGCAGCACATCAAAAAGCTTATCCACCATGATCAAGTGGGCTTCATCCCTGGGATGCAAGGCTGGTTCAATATATGCAAATCAATAAATACAATCCAGCATATAAACAGAACCAAAGACAAAAACCATATGATTATCTCAATAGATGCAGAAAAGGCCTTTGACAAAATTCAACAGCCCTTCATGCTAAAAACTCTCAATAAATTAGGTATTGATGGGACGTATCTCAAAATAATAAGAGCTATCTATGACAAACCCACAGCCAATATCATACTGAATGGGCAGAAACTGGAAGCATTCCCTTTGAAAACTGGCACAAGACAGGGATGCCCTCTCTCACCACTCCTATTCAACATAGTGTTGGAAGTTCTGGCCAGGGCAATTAGGCAGAAGAAGGAAATAAAGGGTCTTCAATTAGGAAAAGAGGAAGTCAAATTGTCCCTGTTTGCAGATGACATGATTGTATATCTAGAAAACCCCATTGTCTCAGCCCAAAATCTCCTTAAGCTGATAAGCAACTTCAGCAAAGTCTCAGGATACAAAATCAATGTACAAAAATCACAAGCATTCTTATATACCAATAACAGACAAACAGAGAGCCAAATCATGAGTGAACTACCATTCACAGTTGCTTCAAAGAGAATAAAATACCTAGGAATCCAACTTACAAGGGATGTGAAGGACCTCTTCAAGGAGAACTACAAACCACTGCTCAATGAAATAAAAGAGGATACAAACAAATGGAAGAACGTTCCATGCTCATGGGTAGGAAGAATCAATATCGTGAAAATGGCCATACTGCCCAAGGTAATTTATAGATTCAATGCCATCCCCATCAAGCTACCAATGACTTTCTTCACAGAATTGGGAAAAACTACTTTAAAGTTCATATGGAACCGAAAAAGAGCCCACATCGCCAAGTCAATCCTAAGACAAAAGAACAAAGCTGGAGGCATCACGCTACCTGACTTCAAACTATACTACAAGGCTACAGTAACCAAAACAGCATGGTACTGGTACCAAAACACAGATATAGATCAATGGAACAGAACAGAGCCCTCAGAAATAACGCTGCATTTCTACAACTATCTGATCTTTGACAAACCTGAGAAAAACAAGCAATGGGGAAAAGGATTCCCTATTTAATAAATGGTGCTGGGAAAACTGGCTAGCCATATGTAGAAAGCTGAAACTGGATCCCTTCCTTACATCTTATACACAAATTAATTCAAGATGGATTAAAGACTTAAACATTAGACCTAAAACCATAAAAACCCTAGAAGAAAACCTAGGCATTACCATTCAGGACATAGGCATGGGCAAGGACTTCATGTCTAAAACACCAAAAGCAACGGCAACAAAAGACAAAATTGACAAATGGGATCTAATTAAACTAAAGAACTTCTGCACAGCAAAAGAAACTACCATCAGAGTGAACAGGCAACCTACAGAATGGGAGAAAATTTTTGCAACCTACTCATCTGACAAAGGGCTAATATCTAGACTCGACAATGAAATCAAACAAATTTACAAGAAAAAAACAAACAACCCCATCAAAAAGTTTGCAAAGGATATGAACAGACACTTCTCAAAAGAAGACATTTATGCAGCCAAAAAACACATGAAAAAATGCTCATCATCACTGGCCATCAGAGAAATGCAAATCAAAACCACAATGAGATACCATCTCACACCAGTTAGAATGGCAATCATTAAAAAGTCAGGAAACAACAGGTGCTGGAGAGGATGTGGAGAAATAAGAACACTTTTACACTGTTGGTGGGACTGTAAACTAGTTCAACCATTGTGGAAGTCAGTGTGGCGATTCCTCAGGGATCTAGAACTAGAAATACCATTTGACCCAGCCATCCCATTACTGGGTATATACCCAAAGGACTATAAATCATGCTGCTATAAAGACACATGCACACATATGTTTATTGCAGCATTATTCACAATAGCAAAGACTTGGAACCAACCCAAATGTCCAACAATGATAGACTGGATTAAGAAAATGTGGCACATATACACCCTGGAATACTATGCAGCCATAAAAAATGATGAGTTCATGTCCTTTGTAGGGACATGGATGAAATTGGAAATCATCATTCTCAGTAAACTATGGCAAGAACAAAAAACCAAACACCGCATGTTCTCACTCATAGATGGGAATTGAACAATGAGAATACATGGACACAGGAAGGGGAACATCACACTCTGGTGACTGTTGTGGGGTGGGGGGAGGGGGGAGGGATAGCATTAGGAGATATACCTAATGCTAAATGACGTGTTAATGGGTGCAGCACACCAGCATGGCACATGTATACATATGTAACTAACCTGCACATTGTGCACATGTACCCTAAAACTTAAAGTATAATAATAATAAAAAAAGAAACATTACAAAGCTACTTTCACAGCCTCCTTTTACACTGAGATATAAATTCTTGAAGCTAATTATACTAATGTGCCTGTTCTCTACTGGTATATTTTTCTGATTTAAACTAGTATATGAAGATCTTTTAGAGGCATGAAGATTTCATGGAGTATGGGTAACATCCACCTCCTAAGAAATAAAAAAGTTATAAAAGAATATAAATATTTTATATTAACATATTAATCAATGTTATAATTTATATAATAGACGTGTAAACTTACATATTTTATTATCTATATTTTATATTTACATATAAATTTATATTAACATAATTAATCCATATTAAATAATATGAATATTTTAGATTAGGTTGTTAGTCCATAAAAGTAAGATAAAAACTAGAAATTTATTTTTAATTTTTAGACAAAATATCTGGGGCTTAGCTATAGGAAAAAAAAAAGGTTGTTGTCCTTAGTTCAAAACCATAGTTTAAAAAAATCAAACCCTAAAAATAAATAGTAAGGGAAATCCTTGGCTGAATATGCCATATGAATTCAAATCCATCAGAAATAGTAGATGTCACTCTCTCAGAAGACATACATCATTGTCTTAAAGAAAATGCAGCTCCAGGCAGCGAATGACAAAGTCTGGTGAATAAAGTCACACAAAAAGGTTAAATAGCTTGAATTTATTTTTGTTGGAAAAGACAGGGCTATAAAGTGACATGAATGATTTTGTCACAGTGATTATAGTGGCCTCAAGACAGCAAGGAGACTTTATGTGGTAGAACGTCAGTATGCCAATCATTGTCCAAGTTCCTGTCATTTTATTTGGCTGTCTCCCTCCCCTCGTCATCATGGCCCTGCCTTTCCTAATAGGCTTTGCCTTTCCTAATAAATCCTGACTCAGATTTGAAGCAAGAGGGACAGCTACTTCAATTCAAACACTCACCTTGAGAGCCCGGCCATACCAACACAGGCCCTGGCTCTGCTGGGCCAGGAGGGGTATAAGTGCAGGAAGAGGAGGAAAGAATTTAGGGCTTTAGCCATAAAAGTAGAATGAGGTCCACGATCCTCTCCATGCCATCCCAACGAAAGCATTACATAATCCAGAGAAAATAAATATTGTAACTCTTGGAACTATCTCAAAAGTACATACAATCACTAACAAATGGTCACAGAACTTTTTTCCTGCATTTTTGGTGAAAGAAAATTGAAACAAAAGTAGACCATAAATATTTACTGAGCACCAACTGTGTGTCAGGCACAGTGCTAAGCAGTGCACAAACAATAGTGAATATGAATAACCAATTGTGAGCCCAACATTACAATCTGTTTCATAAGAACACCTTCTACTAACACCCAAGTTATCGGCGCCCCAATCCCCTCCTTAATGGACACATAAGCATGCACAACTTTATGCCAAGCCTATGAGGCAAATTTTACTTTTAGAATACCTATAAAAATGCCTGGTCATTCCTTTATACTGAATATGAATCCTGTAGCAATGTAGCAATGGATCCCTATCCTGTAGCAATGGATTACTGTCAAAGACTTTGAAAAATGACATGATCAGCAAATGTAGAGGGTAAACTAAGCATATAATTTAAAGCTTAAATCCAGGGGATTATGAGCAGTGAGAACTAGGAAAATGATTTTAGGAAGGAGATTATTCCAGCAATAAAGGGCAGAAGGGACATTAAAATCCACATCCACAGAGGAGAATGAATGAGGAGCAATTCAAGGGGCACAACAGAAACAAATGAATGGAAAAAAAGAAAAACCTCACAAAATATAGGTTTACAAGTAAGTAGTAAAATGGAAAGCGTGTTGAATTATAACACATTTTCTAAATCCCAAAATAAGTCCAGCAATGTGCTACAGGGATGGTTCCCAACACTGAATGTAAATAACCTTTCAGAGACTTGTTTTTACTTTAGTTGCATAGAGAAAGAGACGCTTGGCAGAAATAGAGTGGGGGGAAATACAAAATAAACCAAGGGTCATACCGAATGAGAAAAGAGCAAAGCTATGTACACAGGAAAATGGAAAGAGGCTGCAGGAAAGTGACAGAGCCTATATTGAGGGATGATGAAAGAAAGAGAAGAAGAAAAAAGAGAAGAAACAATTGTCCAGGGAAAACCTGATGTAATGTTGGGGGTATGGGAGCATTAATGAAGAAACAGGGCCCTCTATAAGTCATGGCATCAACAATTTCATTCAGTCAATATTTGCTTGTTGAGCACCTGTTATGTACAAGGCTCTGTCTGTGCTCAACGATGGAAAGAAATACAAATGAAGATGAGGGTCCATGCCTTCATTCCATGTTATTGCGTGTAATTAAATTAAAATAATTTTTATTCCATAACCCTACAATAACTGCAAAGTTCATCATTTCATAATCAGAACACTTAAGAAAACACCCAAAACACTCATCAAAGACCGCAAGTAGATGTCATATTAAATTGATTATGAATAAATAGTACTTTTCCCTCGTTAACTATGAGAGAACATTGTCTATTCAAGATTATTAAGAACTATAAGAACATCATGCTAAACTTGTCTCAGAAATTAAATTAAGTGAAAATTCTTAGTATCTCGGCACCAATATCCTCTCCCCACCACTTTTTTTTTTTTTACTTTAGAGGATTCTGAGAGTCAATGAAAACTGCTATACACTGTGGTTTGACATAGTCTTACCTCTAGTAACTTACCTAGCCAGAATGGCTTCACCTTTGGTGACAGGAATGAACACTTCTTGAATTTCCCCTATCTTCTTATCACTCAATATCTGTCCAAGTTAGAAGGTACTTTCACGAGGAAATAATTCAGAAAAAAAGCTATGTACTATTTACAGCTAAACCAGCTATACAGGATCATAAAAAGTGAGAACATTTTTGTAGCCCTGAATCAAAGCTTTCATAATCTTTTTTTTATAATTTCAACTTTTATTTTAGATTCAAGGGATACATGTGCAGGTTTGTTACATTGGTATATTGAGTGATGCTGAGATTTGGGATATGAATGATCCTATCACGCAGATGCTGAGCATAGTACCCAGCAGTTAGTTTTTCAACCCTTGCCCCTCTCCTTCCCTTCCTCTCTCTTAGTCCCCAGTATCTACCATTGCCATTTTGATGTCCATGAGTATCCAATGTTTAGCTCCCACTTATATGTGAGAATATACAGTATTTGGTTTTCTGTTCCTGTATTAATTCACTTAATATAATGGCCTCCCGCCACATCTGTGTGGCTGCAAAGGATATAATATCATTATTTTTAAGGCTGCATAGTATTCCATGGTATATATGTACCACATTTTCTTTACCCAGTCCACCATGAATGAGCACCTAGGTTGATTCCCTGACTTTGCTGTTATGAATAGTGCAATGAACATGAGTGCATGTGTCTTTTTGGTAGAATGATTTATTTTCTTTTGGCTATACATAGACCAGTGGAACACAATAGAGAGCCCAGAAACAAAGCTGCATACCTCCAGCCATCTGATCTTCAACAAAGTGGGCAAAAATAAGCCATGGGGAAAGAACTCCCTCTTCAATAAACAATGCTGGGATAGCTGGCTAGTTATATGCGGAAGAATGAAACTGGACCCCTAACTTTCACCATATATAAAAATTAACTCAAGATGCTTCAAACTATAAGAATCTTAGAAGAATACCTAGAGAACACCATTCTGGAAATCGGCCTTGAGAAAGAATTTATGACCGAGTCCTCAAAGCAATTGCAACAAAAACAAAATTGTCAAGTAGGACATAATTAAACTCAAGAGCTTCTGCACAGCAAAAGAAACTATCAACAGAGTAAACAGATAACTTACAGAATTCAACAAAATATTAGCAAACTATGCATCCAATGAAAGTGTAATATCCAGAATCTATAAGGAACTTAATTCAACAAGCAAAAAATAAATAATCCCAATAAAACATAGGCAAAAGACATAGACACTCCTCAAAAGCAGACATACAAGCAGCCAACAAACAAGTAAAAAAAATGCTCAACATCACTAATCATCAGAGAAATGCAAATCAAAACCACAATGAGATACCATCTCACATCAGTCAGAATGGCTATTATTAAAAAGTCAAAAAAACAGATGCTGATGAGGGTAAGGAGAAAAGGGAACACTTACACACTCTTGGTGGGAATGAACTTATTCAGCCACTGTGGAAAGCAATTTGGAAATTTCTCAAAGAACTTACAACAGAACTACCATTCAATCCAGCAGTCTATTACTGGATATACATCCAAAACTTTCATCATCTTTGATGATGTTAAGGTTTCTACCAAAGTCAATAAAGTTCTTCCTAAGACATAATGGCTTCAGCCGGGCGTGGTGGTTCACGCCTGTAATCCTAGCACTTTGGGAGGCCGAGGCGGGTGGATCACGAGGTCAGGAGTTCAAGACCAGCCTGGCCAAGAAGGTGAAACCCCCGTCTCTACTAAAAATACAAAAAATTAGCTGGGTGCGGTGGCAGGCGCCTGTAATCCCAGCTACTCAGGAGGCTGAGGCAGGAGAATCGCTTGAACTCGGAGGGTGGAGGTTGCAGTGAGCTGAGATGGCACCACTGCACTCCAGCCTGGCGACAGAGTGAGACTCCATCTCAAAAAAAAAAAAAAAGAAAGAAAAGAAAAGAAATAATTGGCTTCATTCTTCAGCATACTGGCAAATTTGTAAATATATCTGTTTTTCAAAATCCTATCCTTATTAAACACTTACTTAAAGTTTTTCTGGAAGGCACATGAAAGCATTCCTAACTATTTGTAAGCTGCAGCTAATACCAACCTTGAAAATTCACAATCTATGGCAAACCATGACTGACACCAAAATTATCCATCTCAGTAAGAACGAATTTTCCAAATTCTAACTTAGGGACTCTTCATTTACACAACATACATTTATTTAACACATACCACATGCTATTCAAAATAAGATGTTGCTCATTTTGTACAAACTGATTTTTTAGAGTATGAAAAACTCCTGCATAAATTAGGAAATCAATATTTAATGGTCTCATCTCCTGATCCATGCAAGGCACAGTGTCTAAAGTCTAAACTGTAAAATGGGGAGAAGTGTGAAGCCCCTTAAAGCATTCTCTCACTAGCCTGCAGACCTTTACAAAGACCAAGAAGAAGAAAGAGGTGAAAGACAAGAAGGTAAAGAAAGAGGAGGAAGAAATAATAAAAAGAAAAAGAAAAAAACACACACATATAGAATAGGAAGGAAGAAGAAGAAGGAAGGAGGAGGAACCGAATACTTAAAGCTCATGTGTGGATGAGAACAAGACTGACTAAAAAAAAAAAAACAAAAAAAAAAAAAACACAAGTTTCCCTTTAAAGACCTAAGACACAGATCAAGGGTGGAGCCAGAAACTCAGAAAGTGCTTCAGACTCTTTCAGGTAGCTCTTTCTAGTTGAGCCAGAAGGATACTGACCTGACCAGCCTAGTATCTTCTCTTGATCATTTGCTCTCTGATTTCCCTGAGCCTCACCTGCCACCACCCTTTTACCTACAGCCTGTTCCTGACCATATCTGATGATCCTAGATCATTCCTCAGGTAACTGCTCGCCTCGCTCCCTCTCCAGCCTACTTTAGATTAATACCACCAAGCTATGTGTAGCCTCAACTGCCACTTATGCCTGCTGAGGAGCCACAGCTGAGTTCCTCAACAGAACACTAACAGGATATCCCAAAGGCATTAAAAATCCACTAGGGAAATCAAAGAAATCTGCAGAACCAGGTTCTGTCAAGTGGTAGCTCTTCCTGTAGCATCATGCTGTTTAATCCAAAGAAAGAAAACCACACAGAGAAAAAAGCTTGAGCAATGACCAAATTGTGTGTACCAGCAAATTGTGTGTACCAGCCTGACCCCCAACATCCTAACCTCATCCTAACCTTGAAGTGCCTAGGTTCAAATCCCCTAACCTCACTAGTGGAGGAAATGAAGGCAATTCCTCCGAAACAAACCTACTTAAAAGGCAAATTGAAAAAAAAAAAATAAAGCAGAATAGAAATTGACCAACTAGAGGTAAAAGCTAGAGACATGGGGCAGTGTGAAGCAGAATAAGTGGTCTCACACAACTCAACCAGGAGTTCTGCCTCAGCTAGAAAATTTTAAAATCACTTGCAAAATGTGAGCTCTCAAGGCCTATCTGCAGAAAAGCACCATCGATTTCTCATCTTCAAAGAGTTATCTAACAATCTTTACTTGAGACAAAAAATGCAACAAAAGGGCAATTATTGCTAAGTGCTAAAATCCCCTAGTACAAAATTAAATTTTAAAAAGGAGAAGAAAAATGTTCATTTAACCTCGCTGATACATGATTCTGAAAATCTCTTCAACACAAATAACAAGCATATTTAGGGGTAGGGGAGAATGATTTACGTTCTTTATTCCTTCTCTTTCCAGTTAGAACCGCTGATATTTCTGGATCATGGTACAAAATTTTCAATTTTATTTTCAAAATCAAGTTACAGAGAACAGTCTGTCCTGGGGGAAACAAAACAAACTTCTATTTTAAAAGGAACTCTAATGATAAAATCAAAAGTAAAGGATAGCCAGAAGTCAAAAATCATTTTTATATAAAATATTTCTATTTTAAAAAATACAGCATGTTGTACTCTATTTTAATTATATGTAAAATAACTGCAAGTTAGCTAGGGAGGAGACCTGGGCCAGACCAAGAAATAACGTTAGGTATGTTCCAACACAGAGATAAATGGGAAACCACATGTCAAATAAGTAGTAAAGATTATAAAAGATTATTTTATGTTGATGTCTAACATTTTGAGAATCCTATTCCCACTTCTACCACTTATTACCTGTATAACCTTAGGCAGGTTAATTAACTTCAGTTTCCTCATCTTCAAATGGGTATAACAGTATCTACCTCATAATGAGAGATAATGCATGTAAATCACTCAATACAATGCCTGGTACATGACAAAAAAAGTTATATATTATTTATATTTTGTATATATTATATATTTATACTTATATATTATAAATGTTTATATTTATTTAAGTTAATAAATACTAATCCTTATTTTTTCAACTATTTCCCCCAATGTTTGCTTGCAAGTGCTTTTATTATCAAAGTAAACACATTCAACTACATGTTTTCAGAAGCTATCATTTTTTGTTATTATTGATTACATATCTCTTTTACCTGAATGATATCACGTTTGGGACTCTGGTACTGCTAGTTCTATGAAGGCATAAAAGATACTTTGTATTTTTTCTTTTGGAGAAAAATATATGAATATGGATCCCTGCTTAGCAATTAATGTTTCTACCTATGAAACTTTGACCACAAAAAGGCATATACAATTTTGGTGTTGATTGCTGAATACTAATATGTGACTTACGATGAACGAGTGTAACAGAGAGTGTACATATCTACAAACAAATAGGACACGTGTCCTTCAAGAGGTGTTTTTCACCATTTAAATGTCAGATATCCTCACAAATTCCATTTTCATTTTCAAGATAATAAAAATGAAACATTCCTGTTGTGCTCTGCAAGCTTCTTCACTATTGTCTAACTTTAAAATGTATATATTTTTCAGGCACTAAAAGTCATATATAGTTCCAATGGGGTAAATGTAAGAAATCTGACTCCAGCAACATTTAATGGCATCTAAAGAATCGTTGGTGGCCCCCTTCCATAAGACCAGTCTAGCATAGTAGTTAAGCACATAGGCAGTGCGGTGGAGCTGAAGTGCCTAGGTTCAAATCCCCTATCAGCTTTGTGACTTTACAGATAAGTATTACCTGTCACACATGATTTTTTTGAGGACGCAATGAATTAATGTACATCAAGTATTCAGAAGACCATTTGGCACATAAAAGGTAGCCATGTAAGTTACCATATATTTAGCTATTTTAGTATATAACATATATAGTGACACTATTAAAAGTATTTTTCTCTTTTTATCATTTCCTTTTCCTTCCACCTTCTCACCATTCCCCTCAAGGACTCTACCTTTTCTTCTGCTCCATCCCCCAGCCCCACTTTTATGAACATCTATCTTCTTTCCCTTTGGGGCTTATCCATGCTACTTAATGATAAATATGGCCCTATCTAATTAGCCCCACTGGAGTTAGGGAATACTACCGACCTTACAGATTCCTGTTCTCAGTGTGTTGTGAGAAAAAAGCAGGCCTCTCTCCAAGTTCTTCTAAGGGACTCTATTTGTTAAAAACAACAGGAGAACTCTTGGCATTCTTTGCAATATGAGAAAGCAAATAAAAATAGGAACATTTTTTATCAACCTATAAGCTCTTAGAGTCATTCATAGTTAGTTTCCTATGTGTAGCTATACAGAAGTGATGAAAGACTGATTCCTTCTGTGCACCATAACCTCATTAGGTAGAATTTTAAAGATACGAAAAATACATATATATACAAATTGGGATTTCATAGCATAAAAACAAGACTAAGGGAAACTCCTACGATTCTGAATTTTACTTTTTTTTACAATTTAATTGGAAAAGAAGATGGTTGGTAGGAGAATAAAAATTCATTGTGAAATGTCTCCTATTTATAGCAGTAGAACAAAGTTCTGATTGGTGGCAAAAGGTTATCAATATTGAGCCACTTACTTTAACAAATGCACAGTATAAAAA
Source organism: Homo sapiens (assembly GCF_000001405.40). NCBI lineage: Eukaryota > Metazoa > Chordata > Mammalia > Primates > Hominidae > Homo > Homo sapiens. Next base: position 87,941,507 of record NC_000007.14, on the reverse strand, counting down.
AAAAAAGTTTGTGCTACCCTCGCAAAATACTTCCAAAGTTGTAATTCCTAGGAGCCATTTTCCGCCACGGAAGCAGTACTGCAGACAATTTACCATCAAGCTGACTCAGTGCCCCTCAATGAAACAGCACAATGTAAAGTACAGCTCATCCATGCACAGGAATATGTATAAGTACATCAATAAAAATGGAGCACACCTACTGCTTGCCATCTTGCTGCCATTTGGCATTTTTCCCATTTGTTACTGGTTATCAAAACTATGACAAACTGTAGATCTATGTCCTTGGCACTTTAGTACTTGGGAAGCTATAACACTTCCTAGGGAAAGAGCCAGAGGAAAAAAGTTAGCCCGTCTATTCACTGACAACAAAGGCTTCCAACAAAAAGAAATTTTGCTCCTTGTAGAAATATATAATCACTGGGTAAAAAACAAAGTATTAAAAATGTATGGGGTGAAAACACAACAAAATAAACCACAAAATAACATCCTGGATGTAAATCTGTGACGCTTAGTTGACAAAAAAGAATCATTAAGGTGCTTATTCAAAAAATAGCAATTATGTGTATCAAACAATGAGTAGTATCAAACCATCAATAAGACTCAGTAGGTGATATCTTGCCTACACAGAAGTCCAGGTAAAAGTATAAGTTTTATCCTTTTACCTGCAAACATACAATTCTTTCAGCACAAATAATTTCAAGACAGAAGAAAGGCTCTCAATATTTTGAATATTCTAGGCCTGAATGCTATTTTCCAGGAATGAAATTACTTTAGACTAGGTAAACAACTTTGAAGATAGCAAGGCTACCCACAGTCAAATATAATTACTTTGACTACCATTTCTAGGACTTTGTGGCATAATAAGCTTTCAGTAGTGGGCTGATCCTCCCACTTGTGATAAAAATAAAGTATATGCATTCAAGTAACCATACAGTAAAGAAATCACTTACAATATGTACTTATATCAACAGAATTACTATTTAAAACCAATCAAATTGTCAACATTTAAAAGAACTACAATGAAAATTTCTTCTAAAATTTTTCTGTCCCAATTTGGGGATGAAAATTGAAACAAGGACACATTAAGAGTAAAATTAATGTGGTTTATATCATTGTAGTTCTTGGAAGCTTTCTGAAACATTAAGTAATACATTGCTGATTTCCATACTCTTTTTAACCTTTTAAAAAATTGACATATAATAACTATACATATTTATGGGGTACATAGTGATGTTTTGATGCATACAATGCATACTGATCAGATCAGGGTAATCAGCATATCCATCTTGGTGAATGGCTTGATTTTTTTTTTTTTTTTTTTTTTTTGAGATAAAGACTTGCTCTGTCGCCCAGGCTGGAGTGCAGTGGCACCATCTCTGCTCACTGCAACCTCCGCCTCCCAGGTTCAAGTGATTCTCATGCCTCAGGCTCAGGACTACAGGTGCCCACCACCACACCAGGCTAATTTTTGTACCCTTCATAGAGGCGGGTTTCACCATATTGGTCAGGCTGGTCTCGAATCCTGACCTCAAATGATCCACCTACCTCGGCCTCCCAAAGTGCTGGGATTACAGGTGTGGGCCACCATGCCCAGCCAATGGCTTGCTCTTAACAAGTGAAAAGTAATTCCTGAATTAGGTTAGATAACCTATAAGTTCTCTTCTATCTCTAGGACTATTTGATTCCACTTAGTTAAATATAAATTTGAGTAATTTCTAACATACTTCTGGGACTATGTTAAACTCAGGTAATTAAGGCACCATTTTGCATTCAAGTGATGTCATAAAATATCTAAATAGTACTCAAGCAGCCTGAAGGAGTTAATGTTATTTAACAAAGACTCATATAGTGCTTACTCTATGCCCAGCATTGTTGTAAGTGCATTATAAATATTAACTCATTTATAGTTATTTTCAGTATATTTACTAAGTTCTTATGATTCTTAAAGATTATGTGAACATTTACTAGTGAACTAAAGTACACAGCTACAGTCACGTGCTCTTTGAAATTAAAATTATTCATTCTAACAATTAGGATTATCTGACAATAACATGAATCTGGTCAGTTAACTCTCCTAACTGAAATCCTTTGACTGCCTTCAGGACAAATTCCAAATTCCTCAGCAAGTCATGAAAGTGCCACAGCATCTACTCTTTGCTTTCCTGTTTTATCTTATCTGTCCCTGAAATCTTTACTATTTGCAATTAACAAAAACATACCCTGATTCCCATGTACCTATGTACTTACTGCCTCTTTGGTTGGATATGCTCACCCTTCCTTTTAATGCAGCAATTCCAAACTCACCCTTGAAACACGGCTTCCCCAGAGATCCCACCCTGACTGCTCACCTGGGTTAAGTACTAGCCTTCTCTGCCTCCGCTGGCCTCTGTGATCACCTCCAGAAAATCACAAGGCAAAGTATAACTGTTTATTCACCCACTCATCTTCCACGTCTTTAAGAATTCCTTAAAAGAAAACTGTGTCTTTTATCTCTAAATGCCCACAGTCTTGCATAAAAATTGGTACAGAGTAGGAGCACAAATAAATAAATGCCTTTTAGGCCAGCCGCGGTGGTTCACGCCTGTAATCCCAGCACTTTGGGATGCCAAGGTGGGCGGATCACAAGGTCAGGAGATTGAGACCATCCTGGCTAACATGGTGAAACCCTGTCTCTACTAAAAATACAAAAAATTAGCCAGGTGTGGTGGCACGCGCCTGTAGTCCCAGCTACTTGGGAGGCTGAGGCAGGAGAATCGCTTGAACCAGGGAGGTGGACCTTGCCATGAGTTGAGATTGTGCCGCTGCACTCCATCCAGCCTGGGCAAGAGAGTGAGACTCCATCTCAAAAGAAAAAAATAAATAAAATAAATAAATAAATGCCTTTTAAAGAAACAAATCAACAAATCTATATAAGCTTTTTGAGTTCACAGAAAATCACCCTGATTTTATTTATGAAGTAGAAAGGAAGTTGATAAACATATCTATGGGTGGCCAGGCATGGTGGCTCATGTTTGTAATCCCAGCACTTTGGGTGGCCGAGGTGGGAGGATCACTTGAGGTCAGGAGTTCTAGACCAGCCTGGCCAAAATGGTGAAACCCTGTCTCTACTAAGAATACAAAAATTAGCTGGGCATGGTGGTGGGTGCCTGTAATCCCAGTTATTCAGGTGGCTGAGACAGGAATATCGCTTGAACCCAGGAGGTGGAGGTTGCAATAAGCTGAGATCACGCCATTGCACTCCAGCCTGGGTGACAGAGCAAGACTCCATCTCACAAAAAAAAAAAAAAAAAAAAAAAAAAATCTATGGGTATCTAAAATTAAAATGCCATAAATTAGAACTATTTAAGTATTAGAGAAATAACAAGGGCCATAAAAAATCAACTTATGTTTTTCAATCCAATGATTGCTCTTAGGGAAACTAGAAATGCCAATAGTGCAAGAAAACTCCTCTGTTTCCTAACTGTAGGAAAAGTTGGCCTAAGATAAACAGGTCTTTAAAATTTTGTCAGATTTGGTCCTAGTTGTCAATGATTTCCACCTGTAGTTTAAGCAGCATGGTAAAGTGCAGTGGCTCCCAAGTGATAGAGACATCAACATGTACTATGTGTACCTTACTATGTACACATATCCCAGGCACTGGGATAACGTTTTGTAATAATTACTATAAGATGGTATCATTGCTTTCATTTCTGACTTGAATTAATCATCTATTCATACTTTTAAACCTAAATCCTACCAATTCATTCATACTTCACCAAAAACCAGTCATTCTTCTCTATTGTGATGTTTATTGCTATAGGGAGTAGAAGCTCTATGAACCCAAAATAGCTTTCCACCCCAAGTCAAGACTCCTGTGAATCAAAAAACTGCACAAGTGGTGCTCCATAAATGGGGAGAAAAGGAGGACTGACCTCCTCCACTTTTCAAAAGTGGTGGTCTTTCACCAACACAGAAAAGGCAAGAGGTACCCAAAGACATTTCCAGCATGAGTCAGAGATTCTGTGAGTTTCCAGGTTCAATCCTGTCATTTTCTTTTTCTGTATCTCTTCTTCCCTCAGTCTCTCTTCCTCTCCTAGAAAGTCTTTGTGAATTGTTTTAAAGCACTGGCTACAACAGCAAAATCTTGACTCTGAGCAACTCTACAAGATGAAAGACTCCATGTCTTCACTGAAAAAATTGCAAGGGGAAAAAAAAGAAATAGAGGGGAAAGAACCACACATTAAAAGACCTTTTAGAAAACAGAAAAACAGGCTAGGCCCCCACAACTCACACCTGTAATCCCAGCATTTTGGGAGGCCGAGGCCAGCAGATGATTTGAGCCCAGGAGTTCAAGGCCAGCCTGCGCAACATGGTGAAATCCCATCTTTACAAAAACAAATTTTTAATTAGCCAGATAAGGTGGCACATGCCTGTAATCCAAGCTACTCAGGAAGCTGAGGTGGAAGGATCACTGGGGCCCAAGAGGTCAAGGCTGCTGTGAGCCATAATCGTGCTACTGCACTCCTGTCTGGGTGACAGAGTGAGACCCTGTCACAAAAAATAAATAAATAAACTAATTGCAATCTACAGACATTATCTGGGTCCTGGTCCAGACAAACTTACTTAAATATATACTCTAAATATACTCTCTCTCTCTATATATATATATATAATATATATACACACACATATAAACATTCACACACATACATATACATATATACATACATATTTACGAGAACTGGAAATTTGAAAAACAGGATATTTGATAGTAGTAAGAAATTACTCCTAATTTTTGAAAATACAGTAACATGGTTGCATTTTTAAAAGAATCCTTACTGTTTAGTGGTAAATTCCTATAATTTTTATGAATGAAATGATATGATTTGCTTCAATACAATATAGAGAGGGAAAGGAAATAGAAAAAGAAATACGTAGGGTATAGACAAAACAAGATTGGCCATGAGTTGCTAATTGTTGGAGCTGGGGGTTCATTAATTTATCCTACTCTTTTGTGTTTGAAATTTTTTATAATAAAAGGTTGCAAATGGTGTGAAAATATCCTTCCACAGAAATAATCTTAATTAATTGAAAAATACGATGACATAGGGAAACTATGGCCCCTGCTTCTTCAGTTTTACCATTGAAACGAGTCAAAATGGAAAAGGAAAATAGGCATTTACCAACCATTAATTCACATAAAAGAATCCATCATTAAAAGCTTAACATATTGGGATTTTCTACTAAAATAATCTTTGATGGATATTATGTAGCCCTTTAAGCTAATTTCCCACCTTCTATTAACAAAATGTTAACAGTACCAACTACTTGGCTACAAATACAGATTTAAGTAATATTTTCTATTTTTACATATTTCACACATACAGATAAGTTAGTATAATTATCACATCATCAAGATATATCTTAAAGCACTGATGAATATATTTATACATGTGAAAAGGTTTGGCTTGCCATTGCTTCAGTAAAGTTTACAAAAATTTTCAAGTACATGAACAAGTCCTATCTTAATATGGACTTACAGGTGGGTGAACTGCCTGATCAGCTGATGTGTAGAAATAAAAAAATACACAGCCCCAGAAGTATTTACTTAAATTTGTCAATAAATTCACAGTAATTTTCAGGCATATCTGTGAATGTGTGATCTTGATTTAAATACAGATACAGTGATAAAAACTAGATTTTTAAAAACATAATTTATAAATGCTCAACAAACAGCACAGCCCTAATTAAACCAAGAGAACTGCTACCAATAAAGAAAGTCGGAGGAGGACACCTTTTCTAGAAGGTAGGGGTGAATGGGCATATCTCTGGTGTCCACAAATGTGTGCGAATAGAACCTTAAAGTTCAGCTTGTTTTTACAGTTGGGTTTCTTAAGAACGTCTAGCCTTGTTTTTTTCCAATTTTTTCTTACAGTGTCAACCTTGGGTTAAATCACTTATGAAGTCTCTTTGAGGAGTAAAACAACAACAATGATGATTCAAACCCTGCCCAAATACTACCTCCCTTCTCGCTGTGCATGCCTGGCTTTTGCTTGACAGATGTCAGAGGGCTCTCCGCCTGTTCTCTCAGCTCACCGCACTGCTGAAGGCACCCCGCACAAACTCCCCTCGGGCAAAGCCCTCGGCCTGTGGTTATTTTGGTTCTTTTTTGTACCCTTTTCCCCTTCTTTTTTGCACAGGGAGCGCCATGCATGACTCGCATCGGGACCCAACTCATTTCACCCAAGAAGACATGGGATCTCCAGGGCAACCGAGCGCAATCGTGGGGTCTCGGGTGGGCCGGGAGGCGCGGAGGACCACCTCCCGGACCGAGCCTCTCACCTGCGGGCCACCGAGGTCGCCCCGCACCCGCGTGTCGAGCGCGTCGTGCCGACTTTCGTCTTCGCCGCCCGAGCGGTAGATGAGGCGCAGTGGCACGATGCTCTGGCGCTCCACGAAGCGGTTTTCCTTCCTCTTCTCTAGCTCCATCAATGAGGCGTCTCCTCCAGGCAGGAACCGGGAAAGGAGGGAGTGGAGAGAAAAGGCGAAAATAATGACCCTGACCCTCACTCCTCCATCCTGCAGTCCTACGTCTCCCCTACGAAAATCCCCACCGCCCCCTCCCTCTCGGAACCCAACTGGGAAGGACGCAGAGACACCAGCCCGAGAGCCTTGGACCAGCTCATCCGAGAGCAACCAGGAGCGGGGCCCAGAAGCAGGGCACCCCTTTCCCATTCTCCCCATTCCTCTTCAGAAGGAGAAAAACAGGCTTTGACCGAAGGCTTCCAGTGCATCTGCGCGCCTCCACACATATATTTTTGCTCCACTTCTCACCACCCTCCCGAATTAAAAAAAAAAAAAAAAAAAATCTCCCCGCGCACTCGGGAAATGGGGATGCCCCCTTTTCAATACGCCTGAGGGCTCCAAAGATTCCCGGGAAATGGTATGGCCCAAAGGCACAGAGGACGGCTAACTTACCTGCCTGGCCGCAGCGCGCCGGAGGGCAGGTCCCCAGGACACAGAGCAGCAAGAAGGGCACGGACACAGCCACTGCCGCCTGCATGGTGCTGCCGTCAGCCCGCCTCGCCCGAGACGCTCAGCTCCTCATGCCGGCGCCGCCGAGTCCGTTTCCCTCGCTCCGCGCCCCCGGGGTCCCCGCGGCCACCTCCACCCAGCCCCGGCCGGTGCTGCGGCGGCCGTGGCGCTGCAACCTCCACCGCGGCTCAGTGCTGCATTGTGCTTCGCGGACGCTTCCGCTGGCGGGGGGAGCGAGCGAGTGCTGCATTGGGCGGTTGGCTGTAGCTAAGTGGTTTCTAGCGCCTCCCACCTCATCCCCTGGCAAAGGCTCGGGCGGGCGACAAGAGCTCGGCAGGGAGCGAGCGCCCGGTGCACTCGCCCCCCGCGCGCAGGCAAGGGCGCGCGCAGGAGAGTCAGCTGGGAAATGTAGTTCTCTCTCCGTGTCCCGCTTGTCTCCACGACGGCACGGACCGTCGCGACCTCGTGACTGTGAGGTCCTCTATATCCCACAGACTGGAAGGGCGGGAGGGAAGGGCAAAAGAAAGAGATCAGCACTGGACCGCCTCCTGGCATCCGAGATGCACCAACTGGGCCGTTACAGCAGCCAGTATTCATCTGCATCGTCCTTAAAGAGCTGTTCTGTTTACCACAGATTAGTAGTTACTTAAGTTATCCGGAGAACCATACCCTCACGAATACAGTGCTAGTGAATTATTCAACAAATACAGATTGAGGATATACTATGTACCCAGCGGTTGACAACCGGAAGGACACGGGGATCAGAGGCACCTGTTCTTGGGTAAAGTTGAGCAGACAGACCACTTTTTTTTACAATACAGTGTGAAAAGTGTCATGGTTATACCTAGAGGACCATTAATTCAGTCCAGGGAGTCAAAGAGGACCTCCCAGGGAAGGTCTCTGCAGGTAATAGAGGGATGATTTAGCTTAACTCTACGGGATATTTTTGTTCTTTATTGCCAGACAGCCTCAAAACTCTACCAGATATGGGGAACTCAGTTTTCTCAGGCTGCTTATTCCATTTTCCTCTGATTCAAAATGATAGAAATTCTTGAGTATAAAACAATAATAAAATAGTTATCTACATAAAGTAATACTTGTATTTTTTAGTTTTTCAAAGTTCACATGTATTATCTGATCCTTTGGTCAAGAATTTGATTATAACTATTACTCTGATTTTATATTTATGTATGTACGTATGTATGTATGTATGTATTTTTGAGATAGGGTCTTGCTCTGTCGCCCCAACTGGAGTGCAAGTGGTGAGAACACGGCTCACTGCAGCTCAAGCTCCTGGGCTCAAGCCATCCTCCTGCCTCAGCCTCCCAAATAGCTGGGACCACAGACATGTGACACCACACCTGGCTATTTTTTGTTATTATTATTACTTTTTGTAGAGACAAGAGTCTCCCCATGATGATCAGGATGCTCTTGAACTCTTGGGCTCCACCTTGGCCTCACAAAGTGCTGGGATTGCAGATGTGAGCCACTGCACATGCCTACTCCCATTTTAGAAAGGAAAAAAATTAAGATTTAGAGGTGTGCCTTTCAAATACTGTAGCCAGTAGTTACTTGAGGCTATTTTTTTTTTCCGAGTGTTTATTATTTATTTTTGTATTTCAATCGCTTTTGGGGAACAGGTTGTGTTTGTTTACATGAATAAGTTCTTTAGTGGTGATTTCTGAGATTTTGGTGTACCCATCACCCGAGCAGTGTACACTGTACCCAATGTGTAGTCTGTTATCCCTCACCATCCCCCACCCTTTCCCCTGAGTCCCCAAGTCCAATGTATCATTCTTATGCCTTTGTGTCCTCATAGCTTAGCTCCCACATATGAGTGAGAACATGCAAAGTTTGGTTTTTCATTCTTGAGTTACTTTACTTAGAATAATAGTCCCCATTTCCATCCAGGCTGCTGCGAATGCCATTATTTTGTTCCTTTTTATGCCTGAATAGTATTCCATGGTATATATATGCCACATTTTCTTTATCCACTCGTTGATTGATGGGCCTTTTGACTGGTGCCATATTTTTGCTATTGTAAATTGTGCTGCTATAAACATGTATGTGCAAGTTTCTTTTTTGTATAATGACTTATTTTCCTCTGGGTAGATACCTAGTAGTGGGATTGCTGGATCAAATAGTAGATCTCCTTTTAGTTCTTTAAGGAATCTCCATATTGTTTTCCATAGTGGTTATACTAGTTTACATTCCCACAAACAGTGTAAAAGTGTTCCCTTTTCATTGCATCCATGCCAACATCTATTTTTTTTTATTATGGCCATCCTTGCAGGAGTAAGGTGGTATCGCATTGTGGTTTTGATTTGCATTTCCCTGATAATTAGTGATGTTGAGCATTTTTCCATATGTTTGTTGGCCATTTGTATATCTTCTTTTGAGAATTGTCTATTCATGTCCTTAGCCCGCTTTTTTAATGGGATTGTTTGTTGTTGTTTTTTTCTTGCTGATTGTTTGAGTTCTTTGTAGATTCTGGATATTAGTCCTTTGTCAGATGCATAGTTTACGAAAATTTTCTCCCACTCTGTGGGTTGTCTGTTTACTCTGCTGATTATTTCTTTTGCTGTGCTGAAGCTTTTTCATTTAATTAGGTCCCATCTATTTATCTTTCTTTTGTTGCATTTGCTTTTGGGTTCTTGCTCATGGAGTCTTTGCCTAAGCCAATGTCTGGAAGGGTTTTTCTGAGTTATCTTCCAGAATCTTTATGGTTTCAGGTCTTAGATTTCAGTCTTGATCCATCTTGAGTTGATTTTTGTGTAAGATGAAAAATGAAGATTCAGTTTCATTCTTCTGTATGTGGGTTGCCAATTATTCCAGCACCATTCGTTGAATAGGATGTGCTTTCCCCACTTTGTGTTTTTGTTTGCTTTACGGAAGATCAGTTGGCTGTATTTTGCTTTCTTTCTGGGTTTTCTATTCTGTTCCATTGGACTATGTGCCTGTTTTTATACCAGTACCATGCTACTTTGGTGACTATGGCCTTATAGTATAGTTGGGAGTCAGATAATGTGATGCCTCCAGATTTGTTCTTTTTGCTTCGTCTTGCTTTGGCTATGTGGGTTTTGGTTCCATATGAATTTTAAGATTGTTTTTTCTAGCTCTGTGAAGGATAATGGTGGTATTTTGATGGGAATTGCATTGAATCTGTAGGTTGCTTTTGGCGGTTTGTTCATTTTCACAATATTGATCGTACCCATCCATGAGCAAGGGATGTGTTTGTTTTTTTTGCATGTGTCGCTTATGATTTCTTTCAGCAGTGTTTTGTAGTTTTCCTTGTAGAGGTCTTTCACATCCTTGGTTAGGTATATTCCTAAGTATTTAATTTTTTTGCAGGTGTTGTAAAGGGAACTGAGTTCTTGATTTGATTCTCAGCTTGGTCATTGTTGGTGTACAGTAGAGCTACTGATTTGTGTACATTAATTTTGTATCCTGAAACCCTGCTGAATTCATTTACCAGTTCTAGGAGCTTTTTGGATGAGTCTTTAGGGATTTCTAGATATACGATCATATCATCAAAAACAGTGACAATTTGACTTCCTCTTTACTGATTTGGGTGCCCTTTATTTCTCTCTTGTCTGATTGCTCTGGCTAGGACTTCCCGTACTATGTTGAGTAGAAGTGGTGAAAGTGAGCATCCTTGTCTTGTTCCAGTTCTCACTGGGAATGCTTTCAACTTTTCCCTGTTCAGTATAATGTTGACTGTCAGTTTGTCATAGATGGCTTTTATTACCTTAAGGTATGTCCCTTCTATGCCAATTTTGCTGAGGATTTTGATGCTGGTTTTGTCAAATGCTTTTTCTGCATCTACTGAGATGACCATGTGATTTTTGTTTTTAATTCTGTTTGTGTGGTGTATCACATTTATTGATTTATGTATGTTAAACCATCCCTGCATCTCTGGCATGAATACTACCTGATCATGGTGGATTATCTTTTTAATATCCTATTGGATTGAGGTAGCTAGTATTTTGTTGAAGATATTTGCATCTGTATTCATCAGGGATATCAGTCCGTAGTTTTCTTTTTTTGTTATGTCCTTCCCTGGTTTTGGTATTCAGGTGTTACTGGCTTCATAGAATGATTTAGGGAGGATTCTCTCTATCTTTTGGAATAGTGTCAATAGGATTGGTACCATTTCTTCTTTGAATGTCTGATAGAATTAAGTTGTGAATCCATCTGTTCCTGGACTTTTTTTTGCTGGTTATTTTTCTATTACCATTTCAATCTCATTGTTTGTTATTGGTCTGTTCAGAGATTCTATGTCTTCCTGGTTTAATCTTGAAGGACTGTATATTTCCACAAATTTATCCATCCATCTCCTCTTGGTTTTCTAGTTTATGCACATAAAGGTGTTTATAGCAGCCTCAATAATCCTTTGTATTTCTGTGTTATCAGTTGTAATATCTCCCATTTCGTTTCCAGTTGAGCTTATTTGGATCTTCTCTCTTCTTTTCTTGGTTAATCTCACTAACGGTCTATCAATTTTATTTATCTTTCCAAAGAACCAGCTTTTTGTTTCATTAATCTTTTGTACTTTTGTTTGTTTGTTTTAATTTCATTTAGTTCTGCTCTGATCTTGGTTATTTCTTTTCTTCTGCTGGGTTTGGGTTTAGATTTTTCTTGTTTCTCCAGCTCCATGAGGTGTGACCTTAGATTGTCTATTTGTACTCTTTCGGACTTTTTGATATAGGCATTTAACGCTATGACCTTTCCTCTTAGCACTGCCTCTGCTGTATCTTAGAGGTTTTGATAGGTTGTGTCACTGTTATTGTTCAGTTCAAAGAATTTTTAAATTTCCATCTTGATTTCATTGTTGACCCAATGATCATTCAGGAGCAGGTTATTGAATTTTCATGTTATTGCATGGTTTTGAGGGTTCCTTTTGGATTGATTTCCAATTTTATTCCACTGTGGTCTGAGAGAGTACTTGATATAATTTCAATTTTCTTAAATTTACTGAGACTTATTTTGTGGCCTATCATAAGGTCTATCTTGGAGAATGTTCTATGTAATGATGAATAGAATGTATATTCTGCAGTTGTTGGGTAGAATGTTCTGTAAAAATCGTTAAGTCCATTTGTTGTAGGGTATACTTTAAGTCTATTGTTTCTTTTTTGACTTTCTGTCTTAATGACCTGTCTAGTGCTGTCAATGGAGTATTAAATTCCCCCACTATTATTGCGTTGCCATCCATCTCGTTTCTTAGGTCTAGTAGTAATTGTTTTATAAATTTGAAGTACCAGTGTTAGGTGCGTGCATATTTAGAATTGTGATATTTTCCTGTTGGACTAGTCCTTTTATCATTGTATAGTGTTCCTCTTTGTCTTTTTTAACTGCTGTTGCTTTAAAGTTTGTTTTGTCCAATGTAAGAATAGCTATTCCTGCTTGCTTTTGGTGTCCATTTGCATGGAATATCTTTTTCTACCCCTTTACCTTAAGTTTATGTGAGTCCCTATGTGTTAGGTGAGTCTCTTGAAGATGGCAGAAACTTGGTGAATTATTATCCATTCTGCCATTCTGTATCATTTAAGTGGAGCATTTAGGCCATTTATATTCAATGTTAGTATTGAGATGCGAGGTACTATTCTATTCATTGTGTTATTTGTTGTTTGAATACTTTCGGTTATTTTTCATTGTGTTATTGTTATATAGGTCCTGTGAGATTTATTCTTTAAGGAGGTTCTATTTTGGTGTATTTTGAGGATTTGTTCAAGATTTTAGTTCCTTTTAGCAGTTCTTGTAGTGCTGTCTTGGTAGTAGCGAATTCTCTCAGCATTTGTTTATCTGGAAAAGACTATATCTTTCCTTCATTTATGAAGCCTTACTTTCACTGCATACAAAATTCTTGGCTGATAATTTTTTTTTTTTTTGAGATGGAGTCTCACTCTGTTGCCCCAGCTGGAGTGCAATGGCATGATCTCGGCTCCTGCAACCTCTGCCTCCCGGGTTCAAGCGATTATCCTGTCTCAGCCTCCCAAGTAGCTGGGATTACAGGCTCGTGCCACCAGGCCTGGCTAATTTTTGTATTTTTAGTAGAGACGGGGTTTCACCATGTTGGTCAGGCTGGTCTCGAACTCCTGACCTCATGACCCACCCACCTCAGCCTCCCAAAGTGCTGGGATTACAGGCGTGAGCCACCACGCCTGGCTGATAATTTTTTTTAAGAAGGCTAAAAATGGGACCCCAGTCCCTTCTAGCTTGTAAGGTTTCTGATGAGAAATCTGCTGTTAATCTGATAGGTTTTCCTTTATATTACCTGATGCTTTTGCCTCAGTTCTTAAGATTCTTTCCTTCATCTTGACTTTAGATAAACTGGTGACCATGTGCCTAGGAAATTATCTTTTTGTGACGAGTTTCCCAGATGTTCTTTGAGCTTCTTGTATTTGGATGTCGAGATCTCTAGCAAGGCCAGGGACACTTTTATTGATTATTCCCTCAAATATATTTTCCAAGCTTTTAGATTTCTCTTCTTCCTTGTGAACACCAATTATTCTTAAGTTTGGACATTTAACATAGTCCCAAACTTCTTGGAGTCTTTGCTCATTTTTTAAAATTCTTTTTTCTTTGTCTTTGATGGATTGGGTTAATTTGAAAGCCTTATCTTCAAGCTCTGAAGTTCTTTCTTCTGCTTGTTTGATTCTATTGATGAGACATTCCAGTGCATTTTGCATTTCTCTAAGTGTGTCCTTGATTTCCAAAAGTTGTGATTATTTTTTATTTATGCTATTTCACTGAAGAATTTTCCTTTATATCCTGTATCATGTTTTTTTTTTTTTCTTTAAGTGGGACTTCACCTTTCTCAGATGCCTCCTTGATTAGCTTAATAATCATCCTTCTAAACTCTTTCTGTCAATTCAGAGATTTCATCTCATTTTGGATCCATTGCTGGTGAGCTGGTATGATTTTCTGGGAATGTTAAAGAACCTGGTTTTTTCATATTACCAGAATTGTTTTCCTGGTCCTTCTCATTTGGGCAGACTATGTCAGAGGGAAGCTCTTAGGTTCAAGGGCTGCTGTTCAGAATATTTTGTCCCACACTGTGCTCCCTTGATGTGGTGTTCTCCCCCTTCCCCTAGGAATGGGGCTTCCTGAGAGCTGAACTGTAGTGATTGTTTTTGTCCGTCTGGGTCTAGCCACCCTGCAGAGCTCCCAGGCTCCAGGCTGGTACTGGGGAGTGTCTGCAAAGAGTCCTGTGATGTGATCCAGCTTCAGGTCTTGCAGCCATGGATACCAGCACTTGCTTTGGTGGAGGTAGCAGGGGAGTGAAGTGGACCCTGTGAGGGTCCTTGGTTGTGTTTTTGTTTAGTGTACTGGTTTTGTGTTGGTTGGCCTCGAGCCAGGAGGTGGCGCTTTCAAGAGCACATCAGCTGCAGTCCTACAGGGAAGATGCAAACTTTGCCCTAGGGACACCTGGTTAAGTATTCAGGTTTCACAGGCAGTGGGCAGGGCCATCATGCTCTCAAGAGATTATGACCTTTGTCTTTAGCTGCCAGGGAGGGTAGAGAAAGACCACCAGGTAGGTGCAAGGATAGGCATGTCTGAGCTCAGTCTCTTCTTGGTTGGGGCTTGCTGTGGCTGCTGTGGGGTATTGGGGGTGTGGTTCCCAGTCCATAAAGTTATATTACCAGGGGGATTCTGGCTGCCTCTGCTGAGTCATACAGGTCACCGGGGAAGTAGGGGAAAACCAGCAATCACAGACCTCACCCTGCTCCCACACAGCCTGCAGTCCTAAAGGCTGGTTTCACTCCCACCAGGCCCCACAACAGCACTGTCTATTTCCAGGCCGCCAGTGACCAGGGCTGACAACTTGCCCAGACCACAAGACTCCCTGTTGAGAAAGCAAGCGGACTCACAGTTTTTCAGTGTCTCAGGGAGCCTGCAGCAGTGATCCAGTTCCTTCAAAAGGTCTGTGGATTCTCTTGGCTTTCCTGGTATGTTCCTGTGGTAGTTCTTGGAGCAAAAGTTCACAATGTGAGTCTCCACACACTGTTGTGTCTGTCTGAGCGGGAGCTACACGCTAGTCCTGTCTCCTATCCACCATACTAATCTCTCAGAATTCTACTTGTGGCTATTTTAATTTAATTTAATTTAATTTAAAATTCAGATCCTCAACCAAACTAGCTGCATTTCAAGTGCCGAACCTGTAGCTAGTAACTACTATATTGGACAGCTAAGATGTAGAACATTTCTATCATGCAGAAAAGTTCTATTGGAAAGACAGCACTGGGTTCCAGAGTTTAAACGACTTGCCCCCAGACCCCATGGCGAGTAATAAAGTACCCTAGGACCTAAATCTCCTGCTTTCAGGTCTGAGTTTCTTTCCACAATATCTCCCTGGTTGAAATCTGGGTTTGTGTAACCTTCACCTTGATCCTGATTCTGGTTTGGTAAAACATAACAAAAAATTTTCTACATGATGCTCTTTGGAGGCGTTTTACTCATTCCCTATTTTCTTTTTAACCCCTGCCTCATGTGACATGGCTTCAGGTTCCTTCATCATCAATATGATCTCAAAATATACTGTAGTGTGTCAATGTCCCAGCTAAAGTGTGGTGTCCAGAATTAATGACGTAGCTTAGATATTGTTTCACAAGCAAACAATAGAGAGGAACTTTTTTCTTCCTTGTCCTAAATTCTTGCCTAAGAGGACATTCTATCATATTTTTGGTAAATAAATTTCATTGAGCTTACTGTCATTACAAAAAAAATTCCCCAAATCTTCAAAATGAGCGAAACAGTTAAGAATTGTTCAGGAAATTGTAGCCTGAACAAGATTTCAGTAGTATACAACAGACTTTAATGCAGTACGTTCTGTGATAGTTACAGTCAAAGAGAATTAGAACCCTAGGACCTGGAAAAGTTCTTCACTTTCCTTTGCTATATGATGGAGCCAAATTCTTTACTCAGTTCTCTTCGTTGGAAAATGAACTTGATCAGATTTTATAATGATCGTGCTGCTATACATATACTCTAATTTTTAATTTTTTAAGATGTTTGAAATGTTTAAAATAATTGCATAGGCCAAACACATCATCTTGATGTAATAAAAATTAAAATAGGTTTTTTTTTTCTTTAGGAGGCTGTCTTAGCTCAGGCTACCATGTCAAAAATATCATAGACTCAGTTACTTAAACAATAAACATTGTTTCTTATAGTTCTGGAGGCTGGGAAGTACAAATTGAAGGCCGTGGCAAATCTAGTATCTGGTGAGGACCAACTCCTAGCTTGTGGACAGCAACCTTCTTGCTGTATTCTCACATGGCCCAGAGTGCTAGTTCTCTCCCTATTCTTATAAAGACACTAATTCCATCATATAGGCTAGACCCTCATGACCTAATTACTTTCCAAAGGCCCTACCTTCAAATACCACCACATTAGGGCCTCAACATAGGAATTTGGAGGCAGGGGGACAAAAACATTCACATGTTAGCAGAGGTTAAGAAGATATCTTTTGTCAAATTTGTAAGTCTAACTTGTTAGGTGCTTGATATATCTGAGAAAACAAGTATAAATTATAAAGTTTTTTCCTCAGTTATATATAGAGTGTTTAATGTTGGGTAAAATTATTCTGTCAAATTTATGAATTAACTGAATATTAATCAAAGAACAGTGAAAGTAATGATCTTATTTTTATTTTAACAAAAAGTAAGATTGTGAACTAAGCCTAAAGACTTAAGGAAAACTACATTTTAAATTTTATGAGTTACCAAAATAGAATATCAATGAAATAAAAGAACGGCAAGTATTTCTTTTGTGAATTACTGCTTTCCTCTCTGTCTGTAATTTTCTTTTTTTGGTATGTCTGGTCTGTAGTTTTCTTTTTTTGTTATGTCCTTCCCTGGTTTTGGTATTAGGGTGATACTGGCATAAAGAATGATGTAGGGAGGATTCCCTCTTTCTTTCTTTTTTGAAATCGTTTCAGTAAGATTGGTACCATTTCTTTTTTTATTTTAGATAATTTTTTTGAGACAGTCTTGCTCTGTCGCCCAAACTGGAGTGCAGTGGTGTGATCTCAGCTTCCTGCAACCTCCGCCTACCAGATTCAAGCAATTCTCCTGCCTCAGCCTCTCGAGTAGGCAGGACCACAGGGATGTGCCACCATGCCCAGCTAAGTTTTTGTATTTTAGAGACGGACTTTCACCATGTTGGCCGCCCACCTCAGCCTCCCAAAGTGCTGGGATTACAGGCGTGAGCCACCATGTCCTGCCTAATTTTTTTGTATTTTTAGTAGAGATGGGGTTTCACCATGCTGGCTAGGCTAGTCTGAAACTCCTGACCTCATGATCCGCTCGCCTCGGCCTCTCAAAGTGTTGGGATTACAGGCATGAGCCACTGCAGCCAGCCGATTGGTACCATTTCTTCTTTGAATGTCTGATAGAATTCAGCTGTGAATCCACCTGGTCCTGGATCTTTTTTCGTTGGCTATTTTTAAAAATTACTGTTTCAATCTCACTACTTGTTGTTGGTCTGTTCAGAGTTTCTATTTCTTCCTGATTTAATCTAGTAAGGTTGTATATTTCCAGGACTATCCATCTCCTCTAGATTTTCCAGTTTGTGCATGTGAAGGTATTCATAGCAGCCTTGAATGATCTTTTGTATTTCTGTGATATCAGTTGTAATATCTCCCATTTCATTTCTAATTGAGCTTATTTGGATCTTCTCTCTTCTTGGTTAATCTCGCTAATGGTCTATCAGTTTTGTTTATCTTTTCAAAGAACAAGCTTTTTGTTTCATTTATCTTTTGTATTTTTTTGTTTAATTTCATTTAGTTGTGCTCTGATCTTGGTTATTTCTTTTTTCTGCTGGGTTTGAGTTTAGTTTTTTCTTATTTCTCTAGTTCTTTGAGATGTGACCTTAGATTGTCAATTGGTGCTCTTTCAGACTTTTTGATGTAGGCATTTAATGCTGTGAACTTTCCTCTTAGCACCACTTTTTGCTGCATCCCAGAGGTTTTGATAAGTTATGTCACTATTATTGTTCAGTTCAAATAATTTTTTATTTCCATCTTGATCTCATTGTTGACTCAAAGATCATTCAAGAGCAGATTATTTAATTTTCTTTTATTTGTATAGTTTTAAGGGTTCCTTCTGTAGTTGATTTACAGTTTTATTCTACTGTGATCTAAGAGGATAATTGTTGTAATTTCAATTTTCTTAAATTTACTGAGACTTGTTTTGTGACCTATTTGTGGTCCCTCCATATGTTCTGTCTTGGAGAATGTTCCATGTGCTGATGAATAGAAAGTATATTCTTGGCTGGGTGTGGTGGCTCATGCCTGTAATCCCAGCCAAAGCGGGAGGTTCACCTGAGGTCAGGAGTCTCTACTAAAAATACAAAAATAGCCAGGTGTAGTGGCACATGCCTGTAGTCCCAGTTACTCAGGAGGCTAAGGCAGGAGAATCGCTTGAACCCAGGAAGCAGAGGTTGCAGTGAGCTGAGCTTGTGCCACTGCAGTCCAGCCTAAGCAACAGAGTGAGACGCCGTCTCAAAAAAAAAAAAAAAAGAAAGAAAAAATAGAACGTATATTCTGCAGTTGTTGGGTAGAATGTTCTGTAAATATCTGTTAAGTCCATTTGTTTTAGGGCGTAGTTTAAGTCTATTGTTTCTTTGTTGACTTTCTGTCTTGATGAACTGTCTAGTACTGTCAGTGGCGTATTGAAGTACCCACCATTATTGTGTTGCTATCTCATTTCGTAGGTCTAGTAGTAATTGTCTTATGAATTTGAGATCTCCAGTGTTAGGTGCATATATATTTAGGATTGTGCTAATTTTCTGTTGGAATGATCCTTTCATCATTATATAATGTCCCTCTTTGTCTTTTTTTTTTTTAACTGTTGTTTTAAAGTCTGTTTTGACTGATACCAGAATAGCTATTCCTGCTTGCTTTTGGTTTCCATTTGCATGGAATATCTTTTTCTGTCCCTTTCCCTTAAGTTTATGTGAGTCTTTATGTGTCAGTTGAGTCTCCTGAAGACAGCACTTACTTGGTTAGTGAATTTTTATCCATTCTGCCATTCTGTATTATTTAAGTGGAACATTTAGGCCATTTACATTTAACATTAGTATTGTGAGGTGAGGTATTGTTCTGTTTATCATGCTAGTTGTTGCCTAAATACCTGGTTATTTTTCACTGTGGTATTGTTTCACAGGCCCTGTGAGATTTATGCTTTCAGAAGGTTCTATTTTGGTGTATTTCAAAGATTTGTTTCAAGATTTAGAGTTCCTTCTACCATTTCTTGTAGTGCTGGCTTGGAAATGGCAGATTCTCTCATCATTTGTTTGTCTGAAAAAGACTTTATCTCTCCTGCATTTATGAAGATTAGTTTTGTTGGATACAAAATTCTTTCTTTTTTTTTGCCTTTGAGACGGAGTCTGGTGGCTCTGTTGCCCAGGCTGGAGTGCAGTGGCATGATCTCAGCTCACTGCAACCTCCACCTCCTGGGTTCAAGTGATTCTCCTGTCTCAGCCTCCTGAGTAGCTGGGATTACAGGTGTGCACAACACCCGGCTAATTTTTTTTTTTTTTGTATTTTTAATAGAGACAGGGTTTCACCATGTTGCCCAGGCTGGTCTTGAACTCCTGACTTCAGGTGATCTGCCTGCTTCGGCCTCCCAAAGTGCTGGGATTACAGGAGTGAGCCACCGCACCCCGCCAGATACAAAATTCTTGACTGACAATTATTTTGTTTAAAGAGGCTAAAGATAGGACCCAAATCCCTTCTGGCTTGTAAGGTTTCAGCTGTTAATCTGATAGGTTTTCCTTTGTAGGTTACCTGATGCTTTTGCCTCATAGCTCTTAAGATTCTTTCCTTTAGCTTGACTTCAGATAACCTGACGGTATGTGCCTAGGCAATGATCTTTTTGTGATGAATTTCCCAGGTGTTCTTTGAGCTTCTTTATTTGGATGTTTAGATCTCTAGTGAGGCCAGGGAAGTTTTCCCTGATTATTCCCTCAAATAAATTTTCCAAACATTTAGATTCTATTCTTCCTCAGGAACACCAATTATTCTTGGTCATTTAACATAATCCCAAATTTCTTGGCGGCTTTGTTAATTTTTTAAATTCTTTTTTCTTTGTCTTTGTCTGATTTGATTAATTCAAAAGCCTTGTCTTCAAGCTGTGAAGTTTTTTCTTCTACTTGTTCTAGTCTATTGTTGAAACTTTCCAGTGTATTTTGTAAGTGTGTCTTTCATTTCCAGAAGTTGTGGTTGTTTTTTCTTTATGATATCTATTTCTCTGGAGCATTTTTCATCCATATCTTGTATTGTTTTTAAATTTCTTTAAGTTGGTTTTCACCTTTCTCTGGTGTCTCCTTGAGTAGCTTAATGATCAACCTTCTGAATTCTTTACCTGACAATTCAGAGATTTCTTCTTGGTTTGGATCCATTACTGGGGAGCAAGTGTGATATTTTAGGGGTGATATAGAACCCTGTTTTGTCATATTACCAGAATTACTTTTCTGGTTCCCTCTCATTTGGGTATACTATTTCAGTGGAAAAATCTGGAACTCAAGGGCTGCTGTTCAGATTCTTTTGTCTCATGGAATGATCCCTTGACGTAGTGCTCTCCCCTTCCCCTTGGGATGAGGTTTCCTGAGAGCTAAACTGCAGTGATTGTTATTGCTCTTCTGGGTCTAGCCACTCGGCGGGGCTACCAGGCTCTGAGCTGCTGCTGTGGAATGTCTGCAAAGACTCCTGTGATGTCATCCATCTTTGGCTCTCCCAGCTGTGGATATCAGCACCTACTCTGGTGGAGGTGGCGGGGAGTGAAAGTGACTCTGTGAGAATCTTTGGCTGTAGGTATGTTTAGTGTACTGGCTTTCTTGAATGCTGGTTATTCTAGTAGTAAAGTTGTCACGTGGATGGACTCAGGACCTCTGGTTAGCCAGGATGTTTCAGGCAGTGGTATTAGCTGTTGTGTTCTCCTTCTTGGGAGCAGGGTTATTTTGTCATGAGTTGCTGTAATGGCCTGAGTTGATTGGCCTCCAACCAAGAGGTGATGCTTTCAAGAGAGCACCAGCTGCGGTAGTTGTAGGGGAATATAAGCTTGCCGTAAGTTGACCAGGGTAAGTGTTCTGGTTTCTCTGGCAATGGGCAGGGCCATAAAGCTTCCACAAGTTTTTGTCTTTTGTGTGTGGCTACCAGGGCAGGTAGAGAAATATCATCAGGTGGAGGCAGGGTTAGGCGGGTCTGAGCTCAGACTCTCCTTAGGTGGTGCTTGCCATGGCCACTGTGGGGATGGGGGTGTGGTTCTCAGACCGATGGGGTTATGTTCCAGAGGAGATTATGGCTGCCTCGGCTGTGCCATATGGTTCACCAGGGAAGTAGGGGATAGCCAGTAGCAAAAGACCTCACCCAACTCTCACGTTGTTGGCAAGGCTGGTCTTGCCTCTGCGGTGTCCTGCTAACAGGGCCAAGTTTAGTTAGATGCAGGAAGCCTGTGCATGGAACTCAGCCCTTTCCCCATGCTGTAAGCTTCCCAGGTGAGAAAGCAAACTTGACTTTTAGGCCTTGCTCCTCTCCGTCTGCTCACAATGTTGGTGAAGCCTCCTGCACTTGTATCTGCAGCAGTTCCCCATTCACCCCCCGGATTCTGTTCAAGATAGTTCATACCCATTTGAAATTATTACAGAATTTCACTGGAAGCATCTTTCACCCTATGACCCCTCCCTAATTTTGCTGTCTTCCTTGCCTGAGGGCCCCTGCAAAATCCAGTTAGGGATAGTTTCCGTGGGCTCAAGCTGGAGACTGGGTGTGCCTATAAGGCTCTTGCTGCTGCTTCTACTTTTATATTTTACACAGCTCTCTAAATGTGTTTCAGCTCTAGATAAGGTTAAATCTTTCTTCCGTAATCTGGATTTTCATATTCGCCAGTAGGGATATGTGTTCGGAGGCAGGTTTTCCCCTCTCACACTTTGGGAACTCAGTTTTTTGCCTGTCTCGCAGAATTTGCAGTGGCATCAGTTGGGCAATTCAAAAATGAAATTGCAATATAAGAGGCTGAAGGTTAATGTTCTTCCCTAATTAATGTCACTGAGTCTCTTCCTTCTCCTGAAAATATGAAGTTTTCATTGTTTAAAAAATGTTCTTAGAAACTTAAAAAAATCCTATTTGAAATATGAATGTATATTCTGGCCAGAAAGAATGAATGCATATAAATGTGTTTGTATAAAAAGCTAAAATGTTATGGCCTTTATAATTTCTAAGCCAGCAAAACAAATTAAATTATGTTTGTAACAAATAAGTTTTTAAGTATAATCTTGCACATAAAAGATACTTTTTATTTTCTGTATTGCTAAGAACTAGCAGCAATCCATAAATATACTAAGATATGATAATGGTAAAAAGCAAAGATGCTGAAAAGATAACATGTTTAAAGGAAATACAGTTTCTCTGAGATGTGTGTGGGGGTGGGGGTTGAGAATAGGGAAATAGTTTCCTTGGAGTATGTTTGAAGTAGTGTCCTACAGGCCACGTCTTGCCTATTTCATGTATAGATCTTTATCTCTTGTCATGCATTGCTTAATGATGGGGATACATTCTGAGGAATATACCCTTAGGCAACATCATTAATGTAACAATATCATAGAGTGTACTTACACAAACCTAGATGGTATAGCCTACTACACACCTAGGCTACATGGTATAGCCTATTGCTCCTAGGCTGTAAACCTGTTTATCATGTTATTGTACTGAATACTGTAGGCAGTTATAATACATTGGTAAATATTTATGTATCTAAACATAGAAATGGTACAGTAAAAATACAATGTGAAAGATAAAAAATGGTACACCTATATAGGGTACTTACTATGAATGGAGGTTACAGGACTCAAAGTTGCTCTGGGTGAGTCAGTGAGTGAGTGGTGAGTGAATGTGAAGGCCTAGGACATTATTATGTACTACTGTAGACTTTATAAACACTGTACACTTAGGCTGCACTAAACATTAAAAATTTAAGTAATTGTGCTACAAAATTATGGCAGCTATGATGTCAGTAGATGATAGGAATTTTTCAGCTCTATTATAATTTTATGGGATTACCATCATATATGTGGTTCATCATTGAGTGAAACATCATTATGCGGCACATGGCTGTATTTCTATACAATTGAATTAAACTACAAATCAATAACAGAATGATAGCTGGAAAACCTCAAAAATACTTGGATATTATCAACACACTTTTAATTAACATATGGGTTAGAGAAGAAATCTCAAGAGAAATGTTAAAATATTTTGAACTAAATCAAAATGAAAATACAACTTACCAGAATTTTGGAGGTGCAGTGAGTACTTAGAGGGAAATGTATAGCATTGAATGCATATATTAGAAAACAATAAATATTTAAAATAAATAATATGTGTTTACCTTAGGGAACTAGAAAAAGAAGGGCAAATTAAATTCCAAGTAAGCAGCAGAAAAAAATAACCAAAATTAGAACAGAAATCAATTAAATTGAAAATAGGAAATCAAAAGAGAAAATCAATAAAACCAACAACTAGTTTTGGAAAATATCAATAAAATTGCCAAACTTCCAGCCACGTCAACAAAGAAAAGAAAGAGAAGACACAAATTATTAATATCAGAAATGAAAGACAAGCTATGACTATTGATCCCATTGACTTTAAAAGGATAATAAAGAACTATCATAAACAACATTAAGTCTCCAAATTTGATAACCTAGCTGAAATGGACTGATTCCTTGAAAGACATACTATACCAAAGCTTACACAAGGAGAAATAGATAATCGAAATAGGCCTATGTCTATTAAATAAATTGAATCAGGCCGGGCACAGTGGTTCATGCCTGTAATACCAGCACTTTGGGAGGCTGAAACAGGAAGATCACTTGAGGTCAGGAGTTTGAGATCAGCCTGGCCAATATGGTGAAACCCTTTCTCTACTAAAAATACAAAAATTAGCCATGCATGGCGATGGGCACCTGTAATCCCAGCTACTTGGGAGGCTGAGGCAGGAGAATCACTTGAACCCGGGAGACGGAGGTTGCAGTGAGCCGAGATCATGCCACTGGACTCCAGCCTGGGCGACAAGAGTGAAACTCCGTCTCAAAAAGTAAATAAATAAATAAATAATTTATAACTTTCCAAAACGAAAAGCACCAGGCCCAGGTTGTTTCACTAGTGAATTCTACCAATATTTTTAAGAATAAATTATACCAAATTCTTTGTAACCTCTTCCAGGAAATAGAAGCCAAGAGAATATATCCTAACTCATTCTATGTGACCAGCATTACCCTAACACCAAAAACAGAGGAAAACTACAGACAATATGTCTCATCAACATAGATGCAAACTCTTCAATGACATATTAGCAAATTGTACCCAAAAATGTAAGAAAAGAGTGTTAGTCACATGTACCAAGAAGGATTTATTCTAGGTAGGGAAATTTGGTACAACATTTTAATTCCCATTAATATAATCCATCACATCAACAGGCTAAAGAAGAAAGATAATATGATCATATCAATCAGAAAAAGCATTTGACAAAATCCAACCACAATTCATGATAAAAAAAAAAAAAAACCCTCAGCAACTAGAAATGAAGGAGAGATTCCTCAACTTGAAAAAGAACATCTACAAAATGCTGTAGCTGTAAGCTAACATCATACTTAATGGTGAGATGCTAGATAATTTTATGTTAAGATCAGGAACAAGCCAAGGGTGTCTACTCGCACCCTCCTATTCAAGATTGTAAGAAAGGATAGTCTTTTCAGCAAGGGGTGCTGGAACAACTGGACATCTTCATGCAAAAAAATTAATATAGACATAGACCTTACATCTTCCACAAACTTTAACTCAAAATGGACCATGGACCTAAGTGTAAACACAAAACTATAAAACTCCTAGACAATAACATAGAAGAAAATCTAGGTGGCTTTGAGTTTGGTGGTGATTTTTTAGACACAATACCAAGAACATGATCCACAAAAGAAAATACTGATGTTTGACTTCATTAAAATTAAAAACTTCTGCCATGCGAAAGACATCGTTAAAAGAATGAAAAGACAAGCCATAGACTGGAAGAAAACATTTGCATCTGAAAAAGGTCTGGTATCCAAAATATACAAAGAACTCCTCAAACTCAACAATAAGAAAACAATACAATTTTTAAAATGGACAAAAAATCTGAACAGACACGTCACCAAATAAGGTATACACGCAGCAAATAAACATGAAAAGATGTTCAACATCTTATGTCATTAGGGAATGCAAATTAAAACAACAATCAGATACCACTACACACATTAGAATGGCTAAAATCCGAAACAGCAAAACCAAATTCTGGTAAGAATGTGAAGTAACAGGAACTCCAACTCATTGCTAGTGGGAATGTAAAACAGTACAACAACCTTGGAAGACAGTTTGGCAGTTTCTTGCAAAACTAAACATACTTTAACCATATGATACAACAATCATGCCCCTCGGTATTTACTCTGATGAGTCAAAAACTTATGTCCACTCAAAGACCTTCATCTTATATTATTTAGATCTTTCTTCTTTTCTAATATAGGCATATAGTCCAGGCATGGTGGCTCATGCCTGTAATCCTAGCAGTTTGAGAGGCTGAGGCAGGTGGATTGCTTGAGCCCAGGAGCTCAAGACCAGCCTGGACAATATGGTGAAACCCCACCTCTACAAAAAATACAAAAATTAGCCGTGTGTGGTGGTGGGCACCTGTAGTCCTAGCTAGTTAGGAGGCTGAGGTGAGATGATCACCTGAGACCAGTAGGTCAAGGCTGTGGTGAGCCATGATTGTACCACTGCACTCAGCCTGAGTGACAGAGTGAGACCCTGTCTCAAATAAATAACATTAAAGAGGCGGGCATGGTGGTTCACGCCTGTAGTCCCAGCACTTTGGAAGGCCAAGGCAGGTGGATCATCTGGGGTCAGGAGTTCGAGACCAGTCTGACCAACATGGTGAAACCCCCTCTCTACTAAAAATACAAAATTAGCCAGGTGTGGTGGTGCATGCCTGTAATCCCAGCTACTTGGGAGGCTGAGGCAAGAGAATCGCTTGAATCCAGGAGGTGGAGGTTGCAGTGAGCTGAGATCATGCCATTGCACTCCAATCTGGGCAACAAGAGTGAAACTCCATCTCAAAAAAAAAATTAAAAAGATAAAAGATAAAAAATAAAGTAAGCATATAATGCTATAAATTTCCTTCAAACTTTGCTTTAGCTACATTCCAAAAATTTTGTTACGTATTTACTGCAAATTATTTTTAATTTTTCTTCAGACTATGTCTTTGACTCATGTGTTATTTAGAAGTGTGCCATTTTATTTATAACTACCTGGGGCTTTCTAGATATCTATTACTTGTTTCTAGTTTAATTCCACTGTGGTCTGAGAATATATTTTTTATTATTTCTATTCTTTTAAGTGTTGTAAACTTCCTTTTATGACTCAGAATATATCTACTTTGGTGAATGTGGTACTAAATTTTGAGGATACTTGATCAAGGGGATTTGCACACAAGTTAGATAAAGGAAAGTAACTGATTTGGGAGGACTACAAAGACACAGGATTTAACACCCTGAGAAGAATCTCAGGATATACTGTGAACGTGTTGACAGTATATTAGAATTGATGGCTCATGCTCAGAGAAATAAAACTGCCACATTTCCATGACAGATGGTGGAGAAAGAGTGATGGACATATTTGAGTGAATATACTGTATTAAGACTGGGGACTGGACGCGGTGGCTCACACCTGTAATCCCAGCATTTTGGGAGGCCAAGGCAGGCAGATCACTTGAAGTCAGGAGTTCCAGACTAGCCTGGCCAACATGGCGAAATCCATCTCTACTAAAATACAAAAATTAGCCAAGTATGGTGGTGGGTGCCTGTAATCCCAGCTACTCGGGAGGCTGAGGCAGGAGAATCGCTTGAACCTGGGAGGCAGAGGTTGCAGTGAGCCAAGGTTGCACCACAGCACTCCAGCCCAGGTGACAGCACAAAACTCCATCTCCAAAAAAAAAAAAAAAAAAGATCCAAAAACCCACCAGGTCAGTATATTCCATGGAAAGTTCCTGATGGTATGCTACTTACCAAGGCCATAAAGAATGCCCTAGAAGGAAGGCCAACAATAGTACTAAAATATGCAGTTGTGGCTCTCCTCGGTGTGCCAGAACCGATGGCAGGTAAGGCCATTATAGAACTAGGCTCACTAATAGCAGTGAGGTTGATAAGACCTGAAACAATAAAGACCAGATGGTGCCATTCAAGTATCAGAAGGTAAGTGCACATAATTATCATAATAAGTGGCAATGTCGAAGGGGCAGCCAGAGGAGGCCTGAATCCTCTGAAGGTTATGGAGTTGGTTATTAGAACTTAGCATCTTTAGGAGCAAAACGGATGGATAGCCAATAAGGTCATCATTCAATATGTACCATGAGTCAGCCTCAGGAGGCTAAGGGCAATTGCTCCAGTAAAAAGTAATGATCTCTTGTTCTGTTTCCAGATTTAAGTTAATTTTTCAACGTTGAAACCACTGACTAGAGAACAGGCCATGACCCCAGGAGAAAGACCCTGCAACACATTTTAACTGCACATGGTAATTATTTCCTAGTCCTTTCCAAAAGGTACCAATCTCCATTTACTTGGGTAACTGTGCACTGGGAAAAGGGGACTACTCAGATATTTGTTAGACACAAGGTCTGAATTGACATTGATACCTGGGACCCAAAGCACCTATTGTAGAGGGGGCATATGAAAGCCATGTAATAAATGGAGTCCTGGCTAAGGTTTGGCTGATAGTGAGTTATTTGTCTGATAATGTGTCATTTGTCCAGTCCCTGAATATATTATTAGAAGAGAAATACTTATTACTTCATACACTCCCTCATACTGTGCCCCTGGTCTACAAAGTAAGACCTATATATTGGAAAAGACCAAGTGGGAACCTTGAAACTGCTTCTACCCTAAACTGCCAGAATTTATTATTCTAGCCAGAATAATAAATCAAAAACAATATCTTAACTGGGTGGTGTTGGTGGAGGAAATTAGTGCCACTGTTAAATGTTTAAAAGATACAGGAATGGTTGATTCCCACTATATGCATATGGATTATAAAAAATGAGTAGACCACCAGAAGCTGCACTAAGTAGTAGTCTCAATTTCAGTTGCAGTGCCAGATACAATATATTTTCTGTTGCAAATGAATATGGCACCAGGTGCATGATGTGCAGCCATTGGTTGTGCAGATGCATAATTTTCCATCCCTAACAGAAAAAAGAGGGATCAGAAACAGTTCGTATTCACAGGGAAAAGATTACAGTATACACTTATAGTCTTACCACAGGGCTATTTAAACTTTCTTGTCCTTTGTTATAATTTGAACAATCTAGACCATCTGGATGCCATGGAGATTATCACATTAACCCTTTATATTGATGATATATTTATCAAATCAGATGAGGAAGAAGTTGCTAGTACACTGGAAACTTTGATAAGACACATGTTCTCCATAGGGTGAGAAATTCAGGAACCTGTTATATCAGTAACATTTTCAGAGTTCCACTGGTCAGGGACATGCTGGGAAATCCTATCCAAAGTAAAAGACAAATTATTGCCTACTGAACCTTCCAAACATGAAGGAAGCATAATGTCTGCTAGGCCTCTTCAGGTTCTGAAGGCAGTCAGTTCCAACTGGGAATACTGCTTCAACCCAGTGGCAGGAAAGGCTTCCAACTGTGAGTGGAGCTTCCAAGCAGAAAAGTGCTCTGCAGCCATATGATCAGGCAGGTTCAAAGGTTCTGGATTTAGCGGTAGGAAAAGATGCTGTGAGGAATTTATGGCAACTTCCCTGCCCACAGTAAAGGAATCACAGCCCAGAAATAAGGGATTTTAGAGTAAGGCCAGTCCCTCTTTAATGGAGAGTCACACACTTTTTGAAAAGCAAAAATACTTTGTTGTATGAGATGATGATGTATGAGATGGAACACCTGACCATGAGGCGAAACCCACCATGTGGTCAACACTACCCATCATGAACTGGGGTTTTATAAGACCTACCAAGTCATAGCACCAGGCAGATGCAGCAACAATCCATTGTAAAATAGAATTGGTTTATTTAGGATTGAGCAAGAGCAGGACCAGAGAGCTCAAGGAAGTTGCATAAACAGGCGGCTGAGATCCCCATGTCATTCATTGTTGTATTAATGCCTCTCCCTCAGGTCACACCTACAGATGTATGGGTCATCCCTTAAGACCAGCTGAAAAACGAGGAAAGCCCAAATTTAGTTAATGGATGGGTTGCTTCCGTGGCTACAAGATGAAAATAGATGGCAACTGCCATATGGCTACTCAGTGGTGGCATTGAAAGCCAGTCACAAGGGAAAAATCTTGCCAATGGGCAGAATTTCAAGTGGGGTACCTGGTCATTGCTTTTGTGTGAAAAGAGAAGTAGGCTGAGCTTAGCATATATGTACAGTCTTGGGGAGTGAGAAATAATTTGCACTGGCTACTAAGGGGCCTGGAAAGAGAAAGATTGGAAGACTCAGTAGAAAGTATAGAGGCATGTGGCATATGGGAGTGGGCATGAAGTGTGGGCTCCTCATACTGCATGTTAATACTACCCTGATGCTGGCACAATGGGCATATGAGTAAAGCGGTCATGGTGGGCAGTAATGGAAGTTATTTCTGGGCTCCATAGCATAGGTTCCTATTCGCCAAAGCCGAGCTAGTGTTTTTGTCACTGCCAGATGCCCAAACTGCCAGAAACTAGGCATGAAGTGGCTAGTCGATTATACTGGACACAGTAATAGACATGCCAGGTCTTTTTGTTGTTGTTGTCGTTCACATTGCATTTTTAAGACTTAGAGTTTCACTGGCGTGGCATCATATATAACTTCGTATCAGACCAGGGGATGTCCTTTACAGCAAAGGAGGCATGGGGGTAGGCCCATGATCATGCAATCCACAAGCCTTATTATATATTGAATCAACCAGAAGCTTCCTGATAGAGTATTGGAAGGGCCTGTTAATTAGCATCAGCATGGAGGTGATATTCTTGAGAATAGGCTGTCATTTAAGATGCAGTATACAGTTGGAGTTCAAGATGTTTTTATGGTGCTATGCCCCCGACAAAATAAGTCTGGCAACCCATGAGTGGAACAGGAGTAGACCTGCTTGCCGTCACTTATTTGACCCTCTTGAATGTGTTTCCTACCTCAGCGACTCCTGTTGAATTATAAGCTGCGACCACCACCCGGCCGTTTTGAGTTCCTTGTGCCAATAACCCAACAGGCAGAATCACTATGTGGGGTAATTGATCCTGATCCCTCTTCAGTAACTTGTTGCCCCAGCTTCTGGGAGTACTGACAGTAAACAGCTTTCAACTTCTACTGTCAGCTCCTTCAGGGATTGTGTCAGCTGAGGAGCCTCGTTGCCCACAGTCATGCTCCTTCCTAGAGTGACCCATACTCAAATGACTTATTGGTCATCTTCACCTAGCAACTCTTGAAAAGCTGCCTGTGGGGTCAACTGGTGTCCAAAGGCACCCCTTAGAAAACATCTGCATACCAAATTCCATCTCAGTCTGCCTCCTGTGGGAACCCAAAAGTCATACCATGAGGGCCTCGTGGTATGACTTTTTATAGACTTTTGTCTATATATGTATAGACAAATATATATATTATACATATATATTATATAGACATATATATATATGTATATGTATGTGTATATATATTTTTGTAAAAACGAAGTTTAGCTATGCTGCCCAGGCTGACCTTGAACTCCTGATCACAAGTGATCCTCCTATCTCAGCTTCCCAAAGTACTGGGATTACAGGTATGAGCCAGTGCCCAGCTAAGCCCAGGAGTCTGAGGCCACAGTGAGCTGACTGCACCATGGTAACCAGGCCTGGACAAGAGAGACCTAGTATCAAAACAACAACAACAAAAACAATAAAAAAAAAAAAAAAGAAAAAAAAAGAAAAACCACACACACAACAAACAAAAACAAAAAGGCAAAGAACCTTCTGGGTAAACACTACCTTGGCTGTGCCTTGGTAAAAAATAGGAAAAACTACCCCTACCTCTAGGTAGATGCACCTCATTGCCAGGACACACTACTTGCTGCAAATAACCTGCCTTCATCTCACTGGCTGGGTGCCCATCTGCATAGCTGCACAGCACAATCCAAACTGTATGTGGTGGCCCAAGTAAACTGAAATTATTCCAAGTAAACTGAAATTTAAGCACTTGAAAAAAGCTGAATACTCATTATGAAGACCATGTGGTGTTCCAAAAGTCCAATATCCAGTGTCAAATAGTTTAACAACTTTTACTGAAGGGTTCAGACTTTTTCTCCTTAGTAAGTATAACTTAATGTAAAATGATGCCCAGAGTACCACTGTAAATTGAAGACACTTTTTTTTTTTTTTTTTTTGAGACGGAGTCTCGCTCTGTCACCAGGCTGGAGTGCAATGGCACAATCTCGGCTCGCTGCAATTTCTGCCTCCGGGGTTCAAGCGATTCTCCTGCCTCAGCCTCCCAAGTAGCTGGGATTACAGGAGCGCACCACCATGCCCAGCGAATTTTTTGTAGTTTAGTAGAGACAGGGTTTCATCATGTTGGCCAGGATGGTCTCGATCTCCTGACCTCGTGATCCGCCCGCCTTGGCCTCTCAAAGTGCTGGGATTACAGGCGTGAGCCACCGCGCCCAGCCAGACACTGTTACTCTTAAAGTCAAAGGATCATACAGTGACTTTACATACCTTTCAGTTATTTGGAAAATTTGGGGAACACTGATAACTAAAGGGAAATAAACCTGCAAATAATTTTCCAAGTTCCATTTAGATTTTTCAAAGGTTGTCTACGAAACCTTACGTATGTTTACACATACATACATGTATTTGTGATAGAAAATGGAACAATAATTTACAATGGAAACAGGGTTTGCGTGTATGCACTGTAAAGACTCTTTTATTGAGCCTACTTCAGGTACTGGTATGAAAAACAAAGGTGTTAAAAAGCCAGTGTTCATTGATGTTATCCAAATGATCAAAATAATGTATGCAGGAAAAGCATATGAATTAGTCCTGTACTGAGAATCATATATTTCAAAAAAATTAAGATTAGTAACCTAATTTTTAGTGACAATAGATTCATGTACTATGCAATAGAACCAATTGAATGTCACTGGTGGTAGTCTTACTCCTACAAGAACATACTCAAAGGCAAATGCCTTATATCCACAGATTCAAATTGAAATTTCTTATATTTGAATTTTCTCTTCTCCAAATGCTTGTATCAGTAAGTGCCAGATCAAGGCAATCCTTGTATATATCCCAAAACTGTATCTATAATTCAATGCCATCCTTTTCTCCTTCATCTCCTACCAAATTAGGGGGTAGAGTCAACTTTTTTTTTTTTGAGATGGAGTCTCACTCTGTCACCCAGTCTGGAATACAGTGGCACAATCTTGGCTCACTGCAACCTGCACTTCCCAGGTTCAAGCAATTCTCAGCCTCTGGAGGGAGTAGCTGGGACTACAGGCGCATGCCGCCATGCCCAGCTAATTTTTTGTATTTTTAGTAGACAAGGTTTCACCATGTTGGCCAGGATGGTCTTGATCTTCTGACCTCGTGATCAGCCTGCCTCGGCCTCCCAAAGTGCTGGGATCCTGTGGCATGAGCCACAGGAGAGTCAACTTTTGAATATTATTAAAGTTATTTACAAGGTAAGTAATTAAAAATAGCAGATAAATTATATTCCACTTGGTAGCCTGGTTAAGTCCTTCCTTCATGGCTTCCAGTTACCCCTATACATAATCTAATTACTCAGCACCAAAATACTAGCATGGTCCACCAGTGACCCTCAAGTGTCAATATTTCTGATGATTTCCAGAATTCAAGCATAGAAATGTATTTTTCCTTTCTGTATGAAATTTAGGTTTTTCAAGGCAAGGTCATGTTATCCTGATAATCTTTTAAAATTTACAATACAACTAGAATATCCAAATGTATAATGCTAAGTTTGATATTCCCCAAATTGCACTTCACTGGTGGTTTTCAGTGACAAAGCAAATTATTATTCATTGTAATTCTCAGGAAACAATTACGAACATATATATAATGTAAAACAAGACCAGTCACAAGTTTATTCTGTAATTTTTCTTTAACAGGTATTCAATTCTGTAGAAAATTGCAAATATTTATTTTTAATATTTACATTTGGGTCTGTAAACAAAGCTGGTAAAAAAATCCTAAGAATTTCCATACATATTTATAAAAATTTCAAGAATATGATCCTTATCACTTCTGAAAAGTATGCATTTTTTAAATTCTAAAAGCCAGTAAATGTAGAAGTTGAAGGGGACGAGAAAAACGCTGTTAACAGATTATCTGAATTTTCCTCTTCCCAAATATCTAAAACATTGCATATACCACTCTTTTCTGTGTAGCTTGTGAAACCCAAAAATTCTGATTTCTCTTCACTAGTCTGAAACAAGTCTAGTAAAGACTGTACCGGTGAACTACAAATTCTGTTTTCTTCTTGTGTAATAAATTCAGTTCTTTTATCAAATTCAGCATTTGGTTCCAGATTTTCTTTTCTATTTCGTCCTAATATTATTTTCACTTTTCGATGTATTTTACCAGAAGGTAAACTATCCATATTCTTGAAGTCACATTCATTGGGTTCCTCAGGAGGAGTATGGAATGGAGCCTTTGCCTGAACAGTTAGGTGCTCTTGTGAACTGTTTATTGTTATCAGACCAGAATCATGAGTAAATATTGAATGAAGGTCCTTTTCCTTGAGATCCTTTGCTGGAAAAAGCACAGTATCTGACTTCTGTTTTGGTTGAGATCCACTATTATCTGTACTGAAATCAGAAACATGTACAGATGCCTGTATGTTACATTTATAGTGATCTACCCTTAGTTCTTCTAAGTCATTTTCACTTAATGTGTGTTCGGAAATGTCAAGAATGCATTCCTGTTTGTTTTTATGTAGAGGTAGCTGTGTAAAATTCTGTCTTATGTCATCTTCAGCTGTACTTAACATGGAACATTTATTACTCATTTTCTCATTAAGCCCTCTCAATTCATTTGAAGGGTGGGGGATGGGCTCTGAAATAAACAGGAGCTTTTTTTCAGTTTCCTGGGTCTCTTTATACAGGAAATTCTGCTCCTTCACTGTTGTATCATCTTCCTGGCAATCTTTCTGAGAAATATGTTGCAATTCCACTTTTTCCTTTTGTTCAGTCTTTTTCAGGACACTTGCAGAAACAGGAGAAAGGGATCCAACACTGTATTTTATTCTTTGTAGGAAAAATAGAAGAAAAATATTAAAATAATTGCTATCAAAACAAATTCCTGAGTAGTTAGAAATTAAATTAGTAAAAACATTATATAATCTTTAAGAAACCTATTTAACTTAGGAAATTTTACAAAAATACAAACATCTTAACATTTTGCCAAATTTACTTGAGCTGTTTTTAAAGTAATACAACTTTTCAGATATAGCTGAAAACCCTAGTGTACCTCTCTTCTCCTCTACATTCCCTGCCTCCCTCCCAGATAACCAATATCCTGAATTTTGACATTTAAAATTACTTTAATCATGTAAATGAAAGAAATTGATAGTAAAGGGATTTGAGCCTGCCCCTAATTTTGCTTTCATTATTCTGAACAATTTCTTAACTTCTGTGCTTTGATTTACATTAATGCACATTTTACTCTTCATTTTACTTAGCAATGTGGAGAATAAGTATTTACTGAGAAACCTATGGCAAAAACATATATTTTAAATTTACATTTAAGAATATTTAATATCAAAGTGAGCTAGAAACTTAGTATCTTTATACTTTCAAAGGTGACAAAGTTGTAACTTTTAAGCTTCAAACATATTTGACCTAAAATTATTTTCTTCATGGAGCATCTTGATATCCCTGAAATTCCAGTTTGTATTAGACAAACCTAAATAATATACAATTAGAGAAAAAGTTAATAGCTCACCAATTACATTTTGTGTTCCGCATGTCACAGATTAACTGTGAGAAATAATACAATTTTTCCTGCCCCTTCAACCAGAATGTTCTTTTTTATCTTGTTCATACATTTACTTACAAACAATTCTCTTTGAACAAATGGGCAATAAAAAAATGTAAAAAAAAAAAAAAAAACTACTCTAACATGGCTTTTAAGTCCAAGATGTTTAGGACACTTGCCCACAGAAGTGACAATTAAGGAACAACCAGTACTAGCTCAGAATTTTGCTGCAGACTGAGTTTTTAGGGAATTATAAGTTCTTAGAGTAGCCCACATAGTTTTTTTGTTTTTTGTTTTTTTTTGAGACAGAGTCTCTCTGTCAACCAGGCTGGAGTGCAGTGGCCTGATCTCAGCTCACTGCAACCTCTGCTTCTCGGGTTCAAGTGATTCTTGCGCCTCAGCCTCCTAAGTAGTTGGGACTACAGGCATGTGCCACCACCTAATTTTTTTTTTTTTTCAGTGGAGATGGGCTTTCACCACGTTGGCTAGGCTGGTCTGGAACTCCTGGCCTCAAGTGATCTGCCCGCCTCGGCCTTTCGAAGTGCTGGGACCACAGGTGTGAGACACCCTGCCTGGGCACAGTAGCCCACATAGTTTTAATAGTTGGAAATATGCCTTCTCTTCAAATCCATATTAAGTCAGTCATGAAACCATTCTGAATGTCACAGAAATATGGAATTTAAGAACTGTTTTACCTGAAGTAAAAAAACTTTCTGGTTAATTTTCAGAAGCTGTATCTTGTTATCACATTTCTAATCTTCTTTATGTCTTAAGTAAGATTAGTCTAAGAATAAAGACTAACTTAATGAGTTATCACCACCTCTAGGGTATATCCATATGAAACCATCCCTTTAAGTTTATAGGAATAATCTAATCAGGACAATTTTTGTCAATGTGCAGTTGGTGTACATTGAGCAGTACTGTATTCACACTTAAAAGTCCTGTCAGTACCTTTAGTAAACATACCCATCATAAGGTTTAGGCAAAGATATTTAGTGAAATATAAAGACCTAAGGGGCAAGTGGAGGAAGTTTTCTTAAAACTCCTTAATATTACCTAAAAGTTCAATAAAATGTTTTAGTCTGAGTAAATGGTAAACTTTATGGTTCTACAACAGGAGCTGATACACTATATAGCCTGTGGGCAAAATCTAGCCGTCAGTCTATTTTTCCAAATAAAATTGCGTCAAAATACAGTCATATCCATTGTACAAAAAAGCTAAGCTAATTAGTTGCAACAGAGATCTTACGGCTCACAAAACCTAAAATATCAACTATCTGGCTCTTTACAGGAAAAGTCAGCCAACTCCTTCTAAACTACAGTGTCAAGAATGAGACTAATTAGTGGGGTGTAGTGGCACACGCCTGTAATCCCAACTACTCAGGAGGCTGAGGCATGAGAATCTTTTGTACCTGGGAGGCAGAGGTTGCAGTGAGCCAAGATTATGCAACTGCACTCCGGCCTGGGTGATAGGGCGAGACTGTCTCAAAATAAAACAAAAAATTTAAAAAAGGAAAAGTTTTACATAAAAAGAAAATTTAAAAAGAATGGAACTAAAAGTAGTCTAAGGTAAGGATCTTTGATAGTAGGGAAGAAGCTACTGGTTTTTAACCATATTTACATCCCGAAAATACATATTCCTTCTAAGAACAGGAAAACTGTGTTTATTTTTAGTTTAATAGTTTAATATTCTAGTATAATTTATTTATTTATTTTTGAGACGGAGTCTCACTGTCACCCAGGCTGGAGTGCAGTGGTGCAATCTTGGCTCACTGCAACCTCTGCCTCCTGGGTTTCAAGTGATTCTTCTGCCTCAGCCTCCCGAGTAGCTGGGATTACAGGTGTGCAACCACCACACCCGGCTAATTTTTTATTTTTTTAGTAGAGATGGGGTTTTGCCATGTTGGCTAGGCTGGTCTCGAACTCCTGACCTCAAGTGATCCAACTGCCTCAGCCTCCCAAAGTGCTGGGATTACAGGCATGAGCCACCACCCCTGGCCGCCTAGTAGAATTTAAAACTTAGGTTGATAAAACTAATTACCTTTTCTTTTTAGGTGTGTCCTTTTCATATTCCACAAAGTCAAAAACTAACTTAGATACAATATCATCAACAACTTGATACTGGTTACTCTGTGCAAAGTTTCTGTGTTGCTCACTTAGAAGGTGCTAAAACAAAATTAAAAACATGTATCAAAAAATTGTATTTAAAATCAAGAGATGCCTTTTTAATTAAGGTTTTCTAACATTCTCATGCCCCTAAAATTAGGTTTCCAATAACTACTCCAAAGATAATACCCTTTACTAGACTTCAAAAGACGTTTAAAATAAAATAAAATAAAAGTCACTTTTGAGAAGCCAGTAAAACTACTTTGGTTTTTAGTCTTCAGTGAGAAAAGACAAGTACTAATTTGTAGTTACAATGGAACTGAAAAGAATGAGCTGTGTCAGAAAACGAAGACACAGATCAGGCGCAGTGGCTCATGCCTGTAATCCCAGCACTCTGGGAGGCCGAGGTGGGCGGATCACCCGAGGTCAGGAGTTTGAGACCAGCTTGGCCAACATGGTGAAACCCTATCTCTACTAAAAATACAAAAAATCGGCTGGGCCTGGTGGCACATGCCTGTAGTCCCAGATACTTGGGAGGCTGAGGCAGAAGAATCACTTGAACCCAGGAGGTGGAGGGTGCAGTGAGCAGAGATGGCACCACTGTACTCAAGCCTGGGCAACAGAGCAAGACTTCGTCTCAAAAAAAAAAAAAAAAAAAAAAAGGGATACAGAGAGAGAGACAACAGTAACATTTTGGAAAACACATTTCCCTCTATTACTTTGTCTTCATGCAATTATCACTAAATAAGGCAGAGCTTATAGAATAATAAATGAATGAAATATAAGTTAACATAAAAGAATCCAGAAAGTAGATTAAACACATGAACCACATTAAATGCTGTGAAGTACTAAAAAAGCCAAGATTCGTAATTGAAGAACACATTTGGGAATGACCAAAACAAATGATCTCAATTACCCAGTGCTCATAACAGAGTATACAGAAGTTATTCTCATTCTTAAGAGCAGTCAAAACCACTGGGCGCAGTGGCTTACGCCTGTAGTCCTAGCACTTTGGGGAGCCAAGGAGGGCGGATCACCTGAGGTCAGGAGTTCGAGACCTCCTGGCCAACACGGTGAAATCCCGTCTCTACTAAAAGTACAATTAGCCAGGCGTGGTGGCGCATGCCTGTAGTCCCAACTACCAGAGAGGCTGAGGCAGTAGAATCTCTGGAACTCGGGAGATGGAGGTTACAGTGAGCTGAGATTGCACCACTGCACTCCAGCCTGGGTGACAGAGCGAGACTCCATCTCAAATAAAAACAAAAAACAAAACAAAAAGAGTGGTCAAAACCAAAAGTAAACAAGTTCACAACAAAGTGAGATAAAATTCACAGGAAACAAAGTTCCTTGTGAATAGGTGGAATCTCCAGCCTAACTTTATTATTTGTCTGTCAGCTGATCAGGGAGGGAATTGTACTTAGAAGCTTCCTCTAGATGACCATTAAAGAACCTAATTTCTATTTCCCTAGTTTCATGCAATTTTACATTTTGATGATTTTATTACATTTCTAAAAACTAGCATCCTGTAATATACATGTATTCCTTCATTACTTGCAAACTTTACCATATACAAATTATATATGCCCAGTAATAAAAATAAGAATTATCAAAATTTAAAAGGAAGCATCAAATCTTGTAAGCTCAGATTCACTCTGTTAATGTTCTGGGAAGGAAAAATTTCCAACTTTTATTTAGTTCCCCTCTAATTTCCATTAAGTTCTTCTTACTCATCCTTATAAGTCTTAATTTAAAGCGTCACCTGTGTTCAGTTGGGCCTTTTGAGACCCTCATTCTAGGTTAAATAACCTCATTATTTATTCCCATTGCACTTCATACTTTACTTTTGTGAAACTCATCACACTTGCAAATACATATTTTCTATCTATCTACACTGCCAGACCATAAGGTGCATAAGGGTAGGGATGTCCGCCTTATCTGTTGCTTTCTCCCCAGTACTCAAAAATATGTGTTAATTAATCCCTTGATACAAGTGGAATTGAATCATTATGAAACCTAACATTCAAAAAAAAAATGTCTTTACTCTTAGCAACTAAGAAACATATAAATGAAAACTGTAAAAACATGACCTTAAATTTCAATCCCAACCTCTAATCTCAACATCTGCTTTCACTAATTTTCTTCTTTGTGGCAACCACTGAACAATTTTTTCATTTTTTAGCCTCGACATTTTCTGAGAACCAAATTAAGCATCCATTCCAGATTATTTTGTTGCTACACCAGCAAAGTAAAACTTCAGGACCAATCTGTAATTTTAATTTTCAAAATTATTTTCAGGAAGGGGAAATATTTCTGAGATACTTTAGCTTCTGATTAAAAGCAATTTTAGACTAATCATAGTTTTCTTGTTTATTACATAAAAACAAAAAAACTGACACAAAACACTAATATATTTTGGTTTATAAAACAAACTTCAATTCAGAGTCTGAAGACAGATATGTTCCAGTATTATTCTTTCCCCTTAACTTTCCCACCATCTTCTACCAAAACCGAACCAAACACCAAAACAAACCTATCTATTACGTAAAAAATTATTCAAATAACAGCTAACAATAAGCACTTACTATGTGCCAAACACTGTCCAAGCTCACACAGCCAGGGAGCCAGGATTCAAACCTGGCAGCCTGAATCCATAGCTCTTGCTCATCAGTTTACAAACTATAATAGTTCCCCCATTTTCATCCTATATACCCTTTGCAACTCTCCCATTTCTTTCTGCTACCTCAATGGTCTTTACTTCTTTCAACTCTTCTCTTCCCATTATAAATAATAAGCCCACTTTTTAATTGCTAAGGTTCAAAATACTATAGTAACCCTTGACTACCATTTTCCCTCACTTGCAACATCCAATCCATTGGCAAATCCTCTTGGTCCCACCTTTAAAACAAATCCACAATCTGACCATGTTTCAGCACTTCTACTACCACTTAGTCTGGACTATCAATATCTATTCCTTGGTCCCATCAATCATTTTAAATTGGGACCTTTGCACTTACTTATCTCAATATCCAGGTCTCATTACTTCATTTCTCTCAGGTCTCTACTCAAATGTCACCTTATCAGTTATGTGTTCCTTGTCTAGGCTAAATAGCAACATCCCCATTCCTATGTTCTATTTTTTCATAGCACTGATCTAATATTCTCTCTCTATATTTTTATTCTTCTTTTATCCTGTGGTTACCTATCTCCACCCCTATCCCACCCCTACCCTACAGAATATAATCTTCACAACGGTAAAAAATTAAGTCTGTTTTGTTCAATGCTGTTTGCCCAGAGTAGTGATCAGTATGTAGTAGACGCTCAGTATTTGCTGAATAAAAATTCATTTTCAATACTCATTTCCTCCCTTGAGTTCTTAAAATGTAAAATATCTGCATCAGAATAACAAGCTAAAATTTAAAACACAAGTATTACAGTTTTCGAAACAAGCCCCCAAAATATAAAATCACATTTACAGTTTCTAGATCTTCATATTTCTGCAAGCAACATTCACAATATCCTTTTTTCTTCTTCTCTTTCAACTGGAGTTGAATTGAGGTTCCACCATACTTATCGCCATCTGTTTGGATTCTGATGACAGACATACATGGTAAAGAATTAACTGCTGAACCTAAGGAATAACTTTAAAAATTTATTGTCCTAAACTATCACACACAATCTGCATAATTTGCAGAGACTTGTATCAGCAAGTACTTTTAATCATATTTCTTTATACTATATTGAGAAGCAAACTAAAGATTTAATGAATATTCTGGAGAATATTTCAGATCATTCAAGATAAACTACACATTTTCATTATTCACAAATATTTTAAGGCCCTCCCCACCTCCATCTAAACAGATTCAGACTTATAAAAGTAATCAGAATAGTAATTACAAACACAAATAACCATTATGGCATAAATGAAACTATTTCAAATCTTTACAAAGAAAAATTGAGATGAAATTCTGAATATTCCTTCTAAAAGTAAAGATTCAAACCAACCTTAGTTTAACCTGAGTTTGCTTTTGCATACTAGATGGCTTGTCTACATCAAATGGACTGCAGGGCTTCTGAATAGAATAATTTATAAAAGGCATATTGGTCAGCTGAAGATAAAATGGCCTATAAAGTCTAGAAGAATAAAAAGACAAATACATGAGATTCTTTATGATTAAAGAAAAAAGGTTTAAAGTTTTGTATTTCAAAATCATATAATTAAGCTGGAATCTGAAATAACAAATTATTTAGGCTTTCCTTCAAAAAATCAATTTCAGGCCTAACAATTTTTAACATTTAAACATTTTTTAAATTGTGGTAAAATACACATAAAATTTATTACCTTAACCATTTTAAGTGTACAATTCAGTTGCATTAAGTATTCACAATGCTGTGGTACCATCACTGCTACCGTCCATCTTTTGTAAGATGACGTATTTTCATCTTGCAAAAACTGAAACTCTATACCCATCAAACAGTAACTTCCCAAATATCCTTTCTCCATATCCCCTGACAACCACCATTCTACTTCTTGTTATCAGTTTGACTAACGTAGATGCTTCAGGAGTGGAATCATGCAGTATTTTTTGTCTTATTTCACTTAGCATAACGTCTTAAAGGTTTATCCATGTTGCACGTGTCAGAATTTCATTCCTTTTAAAGGCTGAGTAATATTCCATTGAGTGTGTGTACACACACATCCTGCATACTGTTTATCCATTAATTTGCTGATGGACTTGGATTACTTTCACTTTTTGGCTGCTTAATAGTAGCCATCCTAAATAATGTAAAGTGGTATCTCACTGTGGTTTAGATTTGCAATTCCCTCATGATTAGTAATGTTGAGCATCTTTTCATATGCTTATTGGCTATTTGTGTATCACCTCTGGAAAAATGTCTATTCAGCGCTTTGCCCCTTTTTAAAATTGGGTTGTTTTGTTGTTGACTTGTAATTCTTAATATATTCTGGATATTAACATTTATTAGATATATGACTTGTTCAACCTGAGAAAGCTGAAAAAAAGAAATAGATACATGACTTGCAGTATCTTCTTCCATCCTTTCGGTTGCCTTTTTACTGTTATATCCCTTTAGGCACAGAAATTTATATTTTTGATATGGTCCAATTTAATTATTTTATCTTTTGTAATCTGTGTTTTTGGTGTCACGTCCAGGAAAGCACTGCAAATCCAATGTCATGAAGCTTTTCCCCTGTGTTCTCTCCAAGAGTTTTACCATTTTAGGTCTTTGGTCCATTTTGAGTTAATTTTTGAACATGATGTGAGGTAGGAGTCTAATGCCATTCTTTTGCATGTGTATATCTAGTTTTCTCAACACTGTTAAAAAAGACTGTCCTTTCTCCATTAAATTATCTTCATACCCTTGTTGAAAATCATTTGGCCATATGTGTGATGGTTTATTTCTAGGCTCTCTATTCTATTCCATTCGTTTATATGTCTTTATTCCAATGCCAAATTGTTCTGATTTCTGTAGCATTACAGTAAGTTTTAAAACCAGAAAGTGTGAGACCTCTTACTTTGTTGTTCTTTTTTTTTTTTTTTTTTGAGACGGAGTCTTGCTCTGTCCCCCAGGCTGAAGTGTAGTGGCGTGATCTCGGCTCACTGCAAGCTCTGCCTCCCGGGTTCACGCCATTCTCCTGCCTCAGCCTCCTGAGTAGCTGGGACTACAGGTGCCCGCCACCAGGCCCGGCTAATTTTTTATATTTTTAGTAGAGACAGGGTTTCACCGTATTAGCCAGGATGGTCTCCATCTCCTGAACTCGTGATCTGCCTGCCTCGGCCTCCCAAAGTGCTAGGATTACAGGAGTGAGCCACCGCGCCTGGCCTTTGTTGTTATTTTTAATGATTGTCTTGGGTTTCCTGCATCTGTTACAATTCCGTATGAATTCTAGGATACGTTTTTACTATTTCTGCAAAAAACATCATTGGGATTTTGATAGGGATTGCAGTGAATCTGTAGATCACTTTGGGTGGTATTAACATCTTAACAATATTATATCTTCCAATTCATGAACATGGGATGTCCTTTCGTATACTAGTGTCTTTTCTAGGCCTCCTTTTGAATTGCACTTTTTTCTTCACAGCAACACATTTCATAAAAAGCAGTTTTCAATACACTTTTGTCGCCTCAGTGTGAGTACCCAAGAGAATTAACCACAGATGTCTAAATGAATAAGTGGAAAGAAAAAAGAAAGTAATCTAATTCTCTCATGGCAGGCCTATTTATATCTGTGGTCTTCATTAAGATTATCCCACATGGCTGGGCACAGTGGCTCACGCCTGTAATCCCCGCACTTTGGGAGGCTGAGGCAGGCGGATCACTTGAGGTCAAGAGTTAGAGACTAGCCTGGCCAACATGGTGAAACCCCATCTCTACTAAAAATACAAACATCAGCTGGGCATGGTGGCGTAGACCCATAATCCCAGCTACTTGGGAGGCTGAGGCAGGAGAATTGCTTGAACCGGGGGTGGGGTGGACGTTGCAGTGAGCCGAGATCGTGCCACTGCACTCTAGCCTGGGTGACAGAGCAAGACTCCATCTCAAAAAATCAAAACAAACAACAACAACAACAAGACTATCCTACAATACTTCAGAATTTTGGAAATCAACCATGTTAGATGTTATACTTAGATTTTCTGTTTCTAAATAGCATCTAATAATTTCTTTTTCGCAAATGAAGGCGTAATCTTTCAGTAGTTCTAAATCATTTGGTACTGCATTTAGCCAGAGAATAATTTAAATACTAAAAAAACGGTGTCATGATTTTTCTAAACCAGCTATTTCAGGAATATCTACAACATACTGAAACTAAATTCAGTCCTTGAGCACAAATGAATTAATGCTACTTTCGTTAACTTGTGCCGCATGCACATTAGTATAATATAAATCAAACACAAAGGAACCTAACAGTACTAATCGAGCTAGCCTAATTAGTTAGGTGATTTTCCTCTTTAGTATTGCACTTAAATCATACAGATTGGACTTAAATACTTACTGGCTCATATCTTCCACCTTTACAAAAGGCTTTTTGAGTCTTCCTGCTTGAGAACATAGAAAACATATTAGATACTTGCAAATTCAGGATTCTTTTTTTTTTTTAATAAAACTACTGTGGCAAAACAAAACCCTCCAAACAAAAAACTATGTATCCACTTTAAAGTTTTAAGCCTCAGATGAGGTACTTCCATTATCACCTCATTTCCAAAAATAACAGAAGCTCTCTCCTATATTCTGAGATTCTTAAACTA
Organism: Homo sapiens; assembly: GCF_000001405.40. Classification (NCBI taxonomy): domain Eukaryota; kingdom Metazoa; phylum Chordata; class Mammalia; order Primates; family Hominidae; genus Homo; species Homo sapiens. The sequence goes on along the minus strand of NC_000007.14, from coordinate 87,897,086 downwards.
AATGGAACCCTCAAATTAACAGGATTCAGGAAGGTCATAAATTAGAACAGGAGAAAAACTACACTATTGTCTTCACTAACCTCAAACTGAAATTTAGCATTTCCTTCAATTATAAATGTAACAAATCACACTATTCGCAGTACCTGCGACTTTGATGCTAATAGAAACTGCACATATTTTCATCAGTTATGAACTGCTTGAGCAGATATCTCAAAGCATTGTTTACGCTTATCAATTCAAAATGAAGTGGCAATTAGATTCACTGCTAGAATCTGTTCTGTGTAATAAAAAGCAAGTTATCACTATTTCACAATTAAAAACTATTTTGGTAACTACATTTTAATATAATTCATTTTCTTGGTAGACTAATGATTTTTAAAGGAAACGTTTTAAAAAAAACATCATTCTGAAAATGCGGTCCACAGGCTTCACCAAACTTCACCAAGGATCTATGTTCTATAAAGACGAAGAAAGCCTTGAATAAATCATTTAGAGGGTGGTTTATATGATTTTAGAAGATCTTTTATGATTTTTCAAATGCAAACCAAATACACTTAAAGATCACAAAATACTTACTTCTTGTTTTTTGTGCACCACTACCAACTCTTTTGCCCTAAAAAAAAATATATAGTGAAAAGATTGGCTTTGAAAGTACAGTTAAAACAGCAACTGCAATTGCTCAGTATCTTCAAGATAAAAAAATCATGCAGAAAAGTGCTATATCAAAGAAGGATTATTCTTTGTTAAAAAAAACTATTGTTTTTAAATGTTTTACAATACACTCAGCAAGTACCTTGCATTCTAGCTATAATTGATTTTGACTTCATAAAAAGAAAACCAATAATGAAAAGGTAGTTAATGAAATGTTTTTTTAAAAGTCATATTATTTTTATGCCCTTATTCAGCAAAATCTTTGTATTAAATTGAATAAAGAAATTAGTCAACATTTATTAGTCAGTCAATTTAGGCAAAGATTCAATATGTTAAAGATGGATAATCAACTCCACTGATTACAACTAGAAACTCTGGACAACACTGAATAAGCAACTACCTGAAGAATGAAAAGTAAAATAAGCAGGCAGATTGTGGAAGGAAGTCAAAACTGGAACCTTCAGTCATGGAGTTAGCAGCAGTGGCAGAGCCAGCAGCTAAAACTCCTATCTTTCTGGCAGGAAGAACCAGGAATGAGGTTCAAGTGGCCAAAAATACCAAGAGAATCCCTGTATTATTTTCTTTTCTCCCACAGTTCTGCCCTGAGGGTGGGTCCCAATTAGGAGGCTGAGATTGTAAAGGTAGTACAAGCTTAAGCTAACATTGAGAAACCCTCACTTTCTGACTAGAAGACCTGGGAAAGAGGCCACTGCAAGCTGGAGATTGATCCATGAAAAGAGCAAGTTAGAGAAAGGGATCCCTAATTCCCTATATAAATCCATGCAAGTGCAGGGCTTACCTCCAAGTTGCACATGCTAAGGATAGACCCAACGCAGCATAGCAAGGGCTTTGAAAATTGAAACTGAGATTAGATCCACCCCACCCACAACCACCAAGACAGAACAGTCTGAACAAAACTGGGATGACTGTCCGCTAAAACAATGGCAGAAACAAAATCAGCATCCTACAGACTATCAGGATATAGGGCCTACACAACATTTAGAATGTCCAGTATACAGTCAAAACTTAAATTTCACATGTAAACAACCAGAAAAACATTATCAATTTTTGAGAGAAAAGGACAATCAGATGCCAACCCCAACATGTTCCTGATATTGTAATTATTAGAAAAAGACTTTAAAAGTAAAGGTAAACACACTTAAGATGAATGGAAAGAGACAAATTCTCAGCAGAAAAACTACAAATAAGAACCAAACAAAAATAATAGGACTGAAAAATATACTATCTGAGTGAGATAACAAAATTCACTGGATAAGCTCAATAGCAGAACATGTATGACACAATTAAGTATTAGTGAACTTCAAGACAAATGAATAGAAATCTCCAATTGGAAGAAAAGAGGAAACAAAAAAGACTAAGGAAAAAAGGAAAAGAGCCACAGGGATCTGTGGAATAACATCAAGATGTCTAACTTTATTGTCAACTGGAATGGTGGAAAAAGAGGGGAGAGACTAGTGAAGAAAAAAAATTAACAAAATAATAGCTGAAAACTTTCCAAACATAAATTTACACAAATCAATAAGCTCAGTGAACCAAGTGTAGGCACAATCGAACTTCTGAAACCAAAGATAAAGAAAAAAATCTTAAAAGCAGCCAGAGAAAAATGATACAGTAGATATAAATGAATACCAATTTGAGTAACTGCAGATTTCTCGTCAGAATCCATGGAGACCAGAAGACAGTTTTAGGACAAGAGTAAGGTGCTGAGACAAAGAACTCTCAATTCATGATTCTTTTTCCAGTAAAGATATGATCACATGAAGGATATCTCAGAGAATTCCTTGTGCCACCAGATTTGCTCTAAAACATGCTAAAGTAAGTCCTTCAGGCTAAAGGGATATATCCGAAGAAAACCTGTAATTTCAGGAAGGAAGAGTAATGGAAAGGTTAACATCTGGGTTAATAGGACTATTTTCCTCCTGTCGCTTTCTTTAAAACCCAACTTTTTTTTTCTTTTTTTTCCCCGAGACAGGGTCTTGCCCTGTCGCAAGCAGTGGCATGATCTTGCCTCTCTGCAACCTCCGCCTCTTGGGCTAAGGCCATCATGCCACCTCAGCCTCCTAAGCAGGTGGGACTACAGGCGCATGCCACCAGGCCTGGCTAATTTATATATATATTTTTTGTAGAGATGGGGTTTCACCATGTTGCCCAGGCTGGTCTCGAACTTCTGAGCTAAAGTGATCCACCCACCTTGGCCTCCCAAAGTGCTGGGATGACAGGTGTGAGCCACCAGGCCCAGCCCTAAAATATGACTTTTTCAAGCAAAAAGTTTAACATTGTCTGGTGACATTTTCATTATAAGAAGATGTACTAAACATTATGGCATAAAGGTTGGTGGGGAAGGTAAAAGGGCTTGAATATTTTAAGGCTTCTACATTTTATTTGAAGAAGGTAAATATTAATTCAAGATAGATTGCGAAAGGTCACACATGTATATCGTAAATCCTATAGCAACCACTAAAATAAAACAACAAAAATGAAGAGAGTTAAAAAGCTGGCAGATCAATCTGAAAGAAGGCAGGAAAGGGGGAAACAGAAATAAAATACAGAGGGCATCAGCAGAAAACTAACAGTAAGATGGTAGACCTAAATACAAGATCAATAGTTACATTAAGTATAAATCACTTAAACTACCAATTAAAAGACAGATTGCCAAATTTGATGAAAAAGACAATATCTGCAAGAAGTCCATTTTAAATATATAGATATGTTAAATGCAAAAGACTGCAAAAAGTACTATGTAAATACTAATAAAAATAAAGCCAGAATGGTCTACATCAGAGAGCAGACTTCAGAATAAGAATTAACAGGGACAGAAGAGAGAGCATTACAGAGGCTAGAAGGGTCAATTCACCAGGAAGACATAAGAAGGCCGGGCGCGGTGGCTCACGCCTGTAATCCCAGCACTTTGGGAGGCCGAGGCGGGTGGATCATGAGGTCAGGAGATCGAGACCATTCTGGCTAACAAGGTGAAACCCCGTCTCTACTAAAAATACAAAAAATTAGCCGGGCGCGGTGGCGGGCGCCTGTAGTCCCAGCTACTCGGGAGGCTGAGGCAGGAGAATGGCGTGAACCCGGGAAGCGGAGCTTGCAGTGAGCCGAGATTGCGCCACTGCAGTCCACAGTCCGGCCTGGGCGACAGAGCGAGACTCCGTCTCAAAAAAAAAAAAAAAAAAAAGAATATTAAATGTGTACATATCCAACAACAGGCTTCAAAATGACTCAAAACTGTACTAGAACTAAAAGGAAAACTAGACAAATCCACAATTTTACTTGGTAATTTCAATATCCCTCTCTCTCAGTAGTGGACAGAACAAGGCCTGAGCAACATTTCTATATCCTGGATACAGAAAACATGAGCAACGCTATCACTCAAGTTGATCTAACTGACTTGTAAACAATACTGTACCCAACCACAGCAGAATATACATTTTCTTCAACTGCACATGGAATGTTACCAAGATAGACTATATTTTGGGTAACTCTGATAAATTTTTTAAAACTAAAATAATAAAAAGCACGTTATATGGCCATAACAGAATTAAAATAGAAATCAGTAAACAGAAAGATAGCTGAAAAATTCCTATTTGGAAACAAATGATAAAAGTAACCCCACAGGACAATGAGTAAGTCACAAGAGAAATTTAAAAATATTTTTAATTGAATAAAGATGAAAATCCAACCTATCAGCAACAGGAACTCTCATTCATTGCTGGTGGGAATACAAAATGGCACAACTACTTTGGAAGACAGTTTGGCATATTATAACAAAACTAAACCTAGTCTTACTATGTGAAGCAGCAATCATACTCTTTGGTTATTTACCCAAATGAGTTGACAATATGTCCACAAAAAAACCCTGCACGTGGATATTTACATTAGCTTTATGCATAACTGCCAGAACTTGGAAGCAACCAAGATGTCCTTTAGTAGGTAAATGGATAAACTGTGCTGCATATAGAAAATGAAATATTACTCAGATTTTAAAAAGAGCTGTCAAGCCATGAAAAGACATGGAGGAACCTTAAATAAGCATTACCAAGTGAAAGAAGCCAATCAAAAAAGGAAACACACTGTATGATTCCAACTATATGACACTGTGGAAAAGGCAAAACCATGGTGAATGTAAAAGCATCAGGAGTTATCTGGGGTTTAAGGGAATGGGGGGATAAACACGGAAGATTTTTAGGGCAGTGGAACCATTCTGTATGATACTATAATGATGGACACACGTCATAATCATACTTGTCAAAACTCATAGAATGTACAACACTAAGAGTGAGCCAAAATGTGAACTATGAACTTTGGATGATAATGATGTGTCAATGTTAAGTTCATCGATTATAACAAATGTACCACTCTGGTGTGGGATGTTAGGACAAGGAGTATGTAAAACATCTCTGTACCTTTCATTCGATTTTACTGGGAACCAAAAACTTCTCTAAAAAAATAAAGTCTATTGATAAAATATCCAGTGTAAAATGTGTGGGATGCAGCTAAAGGAAAGCTTAAAGAAAATTTATAGCATTAAGATAAAAGAAAGGTCTCAAATCAATGATTCAAGCTTTTTACCTAAGAAACTACAAATAGAAATATAAACCCAAAATAGGCAGAAGAAAAGAAATAAGAGCAGAAATCAATAAAACTGAAAACAGAAAACCACACACACAAAAAATCAATGCCACTAAAGGCTGTTTCCTTGAAAATATTAATAACTGGTAAAACTAGCCAGATTGACTAAGAAAAAAGGAATAGACACAAAATAGCATTATCAGGAATGGAAGAGGGGACATTATTACAGTTCCCATAGACATTACAAAGTTAATAAGGGAGTATTAGAAACAACTCTTTGCCCATCAATTTGACAACCAAGACACAATGGACAAATTCCTTGAAAAACAGACTACCAACATGCACTGAAGAGAAAATAACCTGAATTATCCTATATCTAATGAATAAATTGAATTCATAGTTAAGAATCTTCCAACAAAGAAAAATGTCAGGGCTAGATAGCCTTGCTAGTAAATTCTACCAAACATTTAAAGAAATAAAAACAATTCTATAAAAACTTCTCTGGAAAATAGAAACAGGAACACATATCAGTGTGTTCTGAAAATAGGATTAAACATTCCACTAAAACCAGACAAAGACATCAAAGAAAAAGACCAATATTCCTCCTGCACATGTATGTAAAAAATTCGACAAAATAAGTTTTGAGTAAACTGGAAAAAAAAAAAAAAAAGAAAAGCCCAAACCTCAAAGCACTTTAAATAAAGCAATGAGTAAAATACCTTTATCCAATTACCATATTTTAAATAAGATACATACTAATAAGAACATTTATGGGAACCTAATAAACATTTTGAAATTTATACATGTCCATTCAAGACTCTTAAATGTAATTTCACTAATTTTGTTTTAGTACTTGGCAAACTAAAAATTTTCCAGAAACATTCCTTTCTTATATACCAAAATAAAAATTTCCAGTATGAGTATCAATTCAACCAGATATAGATTCTGGACTATCAAGATATTTGGTATTATTATCATTTTTATTTTAGAAGAAAGATTAAGATCTGTTTCATAGCTATTTTATCTTTTCTTCGTTTTATGAGGGCTCCTACTGCATGGCACATAGCAGGCATTTAATATTTGTTACTACTGAAGGAATGATGAGGACTAAACTTGGTCTTTATGATGTTAATAATCTAGTAAATACTAGACTCAAGACACTGACTAGGCACTGAAACCAATTAAGTATCTTTCAAATCTTCCCCTCCCCTTTGTTATTGCCTTAAGCCAGGCCTTGAACATTTCTCAGGATCACTGACATAACATCCCAGAATGCTATCTATCCATCCATCCATTTATTTATTTATTTTGAGATGGAGTCTCACTCTGTCACCCAGGCTGGACTGCAGTGGGGGTGATCCCGGCTCACTGCTACCTCTGCCTGCCAGCTTCAAGTGATTCTCTTCTATCAGCCTTCCAAGTAGCTGGGATTACAGGCATGCACCACCACACCGGGCATTTTTGTATTTTTAGTAGAGATGGGGGTTTCACCATGTTGGTCATGCTGGTATCCTGACCTCGTGTGATCTGCCCACCTTGGCCTCCCAAAGTGCTGGGATTAGAGGCATAAGCCTCCATGCTTAGCCCCCAGAATGCTTTTTAAACTGCAAACTGTGACCTATCAGTAGGCTATAAAGTCAATTCAGAGTTGTGATCAATATTTTTAAGAAATGAAAATACCACAGAAATATTAATATCCACCACATTAAGGAGGGTAACTATTGTTCTATGAAACTTATTTCAGATATATATACACATATACATGAAGACAGACATAATTTGTGTATTCAGAGTCCATAAATGTCCTTATGAGTTTACATTTTTTTAAACATTTACTTCTATATACAATCCAAACAATCTGCTAAGTGTGGTAGAGGCAATTTATATGCCATTTAGCAAAGTCCAATACAGGAATATCCACTTATATTTTGTGAAAATTTGGAAATAGTCATTTAAATTTTTAACCCAGACCTATTATCTAATCCTTGTAATTCCTCATCCAAAGTTCTCAGATCTCTACTTTTATATTTCCCATTCACTTTTCAACCTACAAGGTATAAAACTTCTGACCAGTTTTCCAAATCATTTTTACACTTTGATTGATAGTTTTATTTAAATACTACTTTGTTGCTTTCTGCAAATTATCCTTATATAAACGTGAATTTATTAAAAACGAGAAATGCATAAAAAGTTTATGCAGCCTTATATACGGCATGTATATACCAAGTGGTCATCCTATAAAATGTATTCAGTAAAAAATGAGGGCTGGGTGTGGTTGCTTATGGCTGTAATCTCAGCACTTTGGGAGGCTGAGGCGGGTGGATAGCTTGAGCTCAGGAGTTCGAGACCAGCCTGGGCAACATGGCGAAACCCCGTCTCTACAAAAAATACAAAAACTAGCCAGGTACGGTGGCTCATGCCTGTAGTCCCAGCTACTTGGGAGGCTGAGGTGGGAGGATCGCTTGAGCCCGGGAGGAGGAGGTTGCAGTGAGCTGAGATGGCACCACTGTACTCCAGCCTGGATGACAGAGGGGGAGGGCCTGCCTCAAAAAAAAAAAAAAAAAATTGTTCAAGAGTTCAAAAGCCATTTTTCAGTCTTGCCAAATAATTCATTCTTTACTGTCAACCAGAAGATCTTTCCAAAATGACTATCCAATCAGGTTACTCTATTTATAATCTTTCCATAATTTTCCAAACTCTCCAAGATAAAATCTAACTCCTTTATATAGGGCAAGGTACTTTATAATCTTAACATGCTGGTTTTTCCAGCTTTATCTTTTGTCACTGGCACACTCAAAGATCAGGCTGTATTATGCTATACAAGATTTCTAAAATATGCCATCCTACTATGGCTTCATGTCTCTATATACACTCTTATCAGTTTATTATTTTTAGATCCCTGTCATTTAAATATTGAACAAAGGAAAAGTAGGCCACAAAAGAATGGTCTGAGAAATATGAAGAGATCAGGAGAAAGCTAAGAGATGAAATTTCAGAAGAGAATAGAAAAGTTTAAGGAAGAAATGGACAACAGCTGAGAGAACCAATATGACTGGGTTTAAAAAGTATCAAAATGATTTGGAAAACTGGTCAGAAGTTTTATACCTTGTAGGTTGAAAAGTGAATGGGAAGTATAAAAGTAGAGATCTGAGAACTTTGGATGAGGAATTACAAGGATTAGATAATAGGTAGGTAGGGATGTGGGATCAAGGGAGGTTTTACTGTATTTGTTTTAAAGGATGGAAAAAGCCTGAAACTGTATAGATGCTTCAAAGAAGCAACAAGGAAAAGGAAAGGGACTGAAGATAATGGGAACATTAGGTTTAACAGAACGTTAACAACCAATGTGGTTGTTTAACAAGTATTTCAAGGTCAGGCCAGTTAGCTATGCTAAAACGAGATTTTGTTATACCATTTAGAGCAGTTGAAAAGGATAGTACATATTTATATTCCAAAAAGAAGTACATTACTTACATTAGGAACGTTTATACAACAGGCTGATTTTAGTGATTTTTCTACAGAATAAATAAAAGTACCTGTTACAAAACAGCAGTAACAAAAGGGGGCTGAGGAAGCGACCTATGCCACTATTCCAGGAACAACTTTTACCTGGTGAGTACAACCCTAAAGTTAAATGACACTCGATTTATTTGAATAACAGAAACAGGCACATCATACACAGGCTTGCCCCTAGGATATTTTCTGCTTGGGAGGAAAACTTTGCAAATACGTAAGTAAAAAAACCAAGCTTGGTCACTTTAAAAATTGAAAAAGAAAACATACCCCATCTCTTACTGAAGTACTTGATTTCTTGAGTAAATACAACTCTTTTTTCTTTTGTTCAATGTAGTATCTAATGTCTTTATTAAAAGAAAGAAGGTTTTAAGATTAGCAATTTTACTCTTGGAGTTAAACAGTGATATTTTCTTGTAGTTAAATTAGATAAAGAATTTACCATTATAGGTATCTCTTATGCTATGGTCTGAATGTTTGTCTCCTCTAAAACTCATGTTGAAATTTAACCCCCAGTGTGACAGTACTTACTGAGAGATGGGACCTTTAAGAGGGAATTCATGGATTAATGGGTTATCATGGGAGTGGACCTGATATCTTTATAAAAAGAGAAAGAGAGACCTGAGCTAGCACACTCAGCCCCTCACCATGTGATACTCTGTGCTGCCTCAAGACTCTGCAGAGTCTCCACCAACAAGAAGGCCCTCACCAGATGCAGCCCTTTGACCCAGGACTTCTTAGTCTCCATAACTGTAAGAAATAAATTCCTTTTCTTTGTACATTACCCAGTTTCAGGTATTCTGTTATAAGCAATAGGAAACAGATTAAGACATCCCTGCTATCAAAATTTCACTATGTAAAGTCAGGAACCAAAGGACAGACATGGACACTTAAAACAAATACTGTCAAAAAACAATTATAAAATCCTTACCATCAATATGAAGAATTTTTACTCCCCATGACAAGGCATTTGATAATATACTATTTGAAGGAATAAAATCCTGTAAAAAAAAAAGTTTTATGGTTGTTCTAGGAAATTATTTAAGATGAGCTAAATTTTAATAAAAATTCAATTATTTGAAGTTTAATGTCACTAAGGCAGTTATTTGTAACAGACCCTATAGAGTTACAATAGCTAGGACATCAAGATTTTCTATAGAATTCCTAAAATCAATCCCACTTTATACCCACATCCTTGGTAATTTAATGAAAACTATAAGGCAAGTTTTAAGTTTCCAGTAATATTTTAAAAGGCCACAAGATGGGGATGTTTCTACATGAAAAGTAAGTTCTTTACTTTGTAAAATAAAATATATGCTGAGATTCAGGTTTTTGCCTAAAAATGTGGAAAGGAAAATTTCAAGAATATCTGTAATTTCCAGTTGAGTTTTTAATAACAAAATGTACAATGTGAATCTTTATAGTTCCTACTTACATGGTCCTTGATAGCTTTTTCAACTAATAATTTTCCTCTGCTTAAACACACCTATAAAAAGACCAGAAAAATTTAAAACATAGTGCTTAACTGGAGAACAGGTTAAAAAGGTAAAGCAGCTAAGAAAAGAGAACTTTTGGGTCTCATATTAAAAAGTTTCTCTTTTTTGGGTGACCTCTTTGGTTTTGTAGTAAATTCTATTCAACATGAAAAATAAAATAGCTAGGTTTCACTGGAATTCTTTATAATTAATTGGCTTACATTTTAGTTCCTATTAAATCAGAGATTTCAGAAAAACAATAAATTTTATATACTGTTTTCACATGTTATTTCACCTTTTTTTTTTTTTTTTTTTTTTTGGAGACAAAGTCTTGCTGTGTCGCTCAAGCTAGAGTACAGTGGTGTGATCTCAGCTCATTGCAACCTCTGCCTCCCGGGTTCAAGTGATTCTCCTGCCCCAGCCTCCCAAGTAGCTGGGACTACAGGCACGCACCATCATGCCCGGCTAATTTTTGTATTTTTTTTAAGTAGAGATGTGGTTTCACTATGTTGGCCAGGCTGGTCTTGAACTCCTGACCTCGTGATTCACCCACCTCAGCCTCCCAAAGTGCTGGGATTACAGGCGTGAGCCACCGCACCCAGCCGTTACTTCACTTTTTAAATAAAGTACTAGGAAAACTCGTTGAAATGCCATAACCAACAATTATTTTGGAATCGCTGGTGTATTGTCTCCTTGCTCCAAAAAAGCATTAACTCAGAGAATGCATGGTCCTTTCTTGATCTCTTTTCCATTCTTTCTTCTATGTATTGTATCTCTTTTTTCAAGTGATAGCTCCTTTCTGACTCATTTCTTCTGTTTTCTCCTCATTTTCCTTAATTTTCAAATGGCTATAATAGGTAAGTCGAGGAGAATATTGTAAAATAATAACTTAATTACACTTCAACCTAAAAACTGAAATAAACATTTTATCTCTCATTTGATCCTATCCCACCTCACACCCAATTAAATCAATTTAATTTGTCTTTCCTTGCATCTTTCAATTTACTGGCCATGGAGTGGTAGGGATGTGATTTCAATAATTCTAGAATAGGGGCTGGCAACCTTTTTATGCAAAGGACCAGACAGTACACATTTTAAGCTTTGTTGGCCATATGGTCTCTACAGCAACTATTCAATTCTGCCTAAAACACAACAACTACAGATTATACCTAAACAAACAGGTATGGCTGTGTTCCAATAAAACATTATGACAATGAAATCTGAATGTCATAAAATTTCTACTTGTCACAAAATATTCTTTTGATATTTTTACACAACTATTTGAAAATGTAAAAACCATGCTTAACCTGCAGGTTGTACAAAAAAGGCAACAGACTAGATTTGGCCCATGGGCCAGAGTTTGCTGACCCCTGCTCTGAAAATTAAAAAGGTTTCTATTTCTTCTTCAAAGAATGATCTGCTCTTAACTTTTTAGTTGTAAATTATTCTAAAAACTACACGCCATCCCTAAATACAAGGGTATACCTAAGCAATCAGAGTATGATTACACAAGAACTATTAGGAAAAACCCACCTTCCTAAAAGACAGCAACTTTATTGAGGACTAGAGAGCCACACATCATGTGGCTTTGCAAATGTTCTACATAAGTAAACTCTACTGCCACCTTGCTATTAAAAACCAGGAGATCTTCAGGATATAGCCCTTCTGAGTCTCAAAGCATATTTAAGAGACTTACTGTGTCTGGTGACTTAAATGAACTTCCATCATGGCTGGGATGAGGTGAAGTGGTTTCTGCAGTATATGCAGATTCTGGACTTGGTACAGGAGAAATTCGACCCAAGGTTTGTGCAAATTTAGCTTCCTTCTTATTTGAAATAAGATAACTGATATCTTTGCTGAGAAATTCTTCAACTCGCTAGAAGAGAACAAAGTATTTTTATTTATAAATTTGTTTTAAGAAACACGGTCTCACTGTGTTATCCAGGCTAGAGTGCAGTGGCACAATCATAGCTCACTGCAGCCTCAACCCCCTGTTCTCAAGTGATCCTCCCGCCTTGGCCTTCTGAACAGCTGGGACTATAGGCACATGCCACCAAGGTATTTTCAACTAGGTCATAAAAACCATAAACTGTTTCATATGCCAAGCACAGTAAAAAATTTCAATTTGATGCAATTATTTCGTAAATTGGTGGTTTTTATACTGTATTTTTCTGAACCTAGATCTCTGAGGAAGTATAAGAGCTCCTATAACAGCACAACAGCAGCATGTGCTGGATACTATTCTTAAATACTTTATATATGTTAATTAACTTAATCTATGGAACAGCCTCATGATACTATCTACATTTTCTGCAGGATAAAAAGTGAAGAGAGGTGACTTGCTTAATGTTACCCAGTAGCAAATAATATAATTTGAACATAGGCATTCTGACTCAAGCCCATGATCTAAAGCAGCAGTGTCCAATACAACTTACCAAAGCATTTGAAATGGCCTTGGTAGTGTGATTAAGCCACTGAATTTTTTGTTTCTTAAGAGATGGGGTCTTGTTATGTTGCCCAGGTTGGCCCTGAACTCTTGGGCTCAAGAGAGCCTCCTACCTCAACCTCCCAAGTACCTGAGAGTACAGGCACACACTACTGCGCCTAGCTCAAGCCACTGATTTTTAAATTTGATTTTAAAGACTTTAAATTTAATAGCCACATATCACTAATGGTTACCATAGCAGACAATACAAGTCTAAATCAATCATTATTACACCTTCCCTTGAGGCTTCAACTTACAGGATGGAGGGAACCTTTACGCTTAAGAGTGTAAGACTGTTTGAATAGAATTTCTTTACTAAAATGTTTGAAAACCACCGCCTAAGTATCTGAATTTACTTATAAAGACATGTACCAAAGTGAAGGTTATTAAAGATCGCCAGGGTCAGGAAAATAAAAATAGGGAGAAGTAAATACTAAGTAGAATTACTAATATTATTAGAAAAATACATAGTATAAATATGTATACTATAAATACCCACTAAGCAGAAGTAAACTGTGAATCATTAATAAGCAGTAACAATTTACATCCATGAAAGACTTCTCAGAATATTTTAAATAGCTGTATCTATTTTCTATAGGATCCCACACTATAAATGATAATAAAAATGAAGTGTGTAACAGATAAGTTAACTTCATCTAAGCATTAAGCAGCATTTGCTACTGAGACCAGTGGCCTCCTTGGTTAAGTGCAAATCATTTCTTTTCCGACCAACATTCATTTTCATTGAACAGTAAATAATGTACCTACATTTATTTATTCCAGGGATTAGACTCAAATGCCTATAAGGGCCAGGCAATAATACAAATAATTCACACATCAAATACTGCCTTCATTTTCATAAATATGAGGCCCTAATAATGTCAGAGGTTCTAATTTTTCATAAGAAACCCGATCTCCTATACACTTTTATTGTGATAAATATAAAATTAGCCATTTTAACCATTTTTAAGTGTACAATTTAACGGCAGTAAGTACACTCACATTATGCAACCATCACTACTAAAACATTTCTATAACTTTTCCATGATCCCAAACTGAAAGTCTGTACCCATTAAACAGTAACTCCTCATTCCTCATTTTTCCCAGCCCCTCATAACCTTTATTCTACTTTCCATCTCTGAAATTGGCTATTCTAGATAACTCATATAATGGAATCCTACATTTGTTCTTTTGTAACTGGCTTCCTTCACTTAGCACGTTTTTTGTGGTTCACCCATGTTGTAGCATGTATTAGAATTTCATTCCTTTTTAAAGCTGAATAATATTCTATTGTATGTATATACAACCTCTTCTTTATCTATTTACTTGTTGGACATTAAGGCTGTTCACACTTTTTAGCTATTGTGAATAATAAATATCTTTGAGACCCTGCTTTCAATTATTTTGTATGTATAGCCAGAAATGGAATTGCAAAATCATATAGTAATTCAATTTTTTACTTTTTTCAGAAACTACCCATACTATTTTGTATGGTGGCTATATCGTGTTACACTACCACTCAGAGTGCACAAGGGTTCTACTTCTTCAAATCTTTGTTAACACTTGTTATTTTTCTGGTTAACAGTAACCATCCTAACAGGTGTTAAGTGATTACTGATTGACATTTCCCTAATGATTAGTGACGTTGAACATTTTTTCATGTACTTATCTGCCATTAGTATATCTTTTCTGAGTAAATGTCTTTTCAGTTCCTCTGCCCATTTTTAAATTGGGCCATTTGTCCTTTTGTTCTTGGGTCACAGAAGTTCTTTATATAAGTATTCTGGATATTAATCCCTTAGCAGATGTACAATTTGCAAAGATTTCCTGCAATTCTGTGCGTTCTTTCACTCCTGAAAATGTCCTTTGAGGCACAAAAGTTCTTAATCCTGATGAAGTCCAATTTCATACTTTTCATTTGTTGCACATGATTTTGGTATCATATCCAAGAAATCACTGCCAAATCCAATGTCATGAAGATCTCTCCCTATATTTTCCACTAAGAGTTTCAGTTCTTACAAATAAATCTTAGATCCATTTTGAGCTCATTTACGCATATGACAGTAAAGGTCCAACTTCATTTTTCTGCATGTAGATATCCAGTTTTCCCAGCACCAGCTGTTGAAAAGATCATCTTTTCCCCAATGAATGGTCTTGGCACCCTTCTTGAAAATCCATTAGCCATATATGCAAGGGTTTATTTCTGGGTTCTCTGTTCTACTCTATTGGTCTGTATGTCTGTTCTTATGTTAGTACCACTTATTTCCTTTGGTTTTTAATTTCTTACATAGTTAAAACTCCTTAGAGTGAATAAAACGCCCTTTGCAATCTAGCCCTAATATAATTTTGTTTGCTGTCACTTCCCCCACCTATATCCTAAGCTCAAATCCCACTGCAACATTAGTAGTTGTACAAACAAACTGCATTGACATATATTTTAAATATGCTTTCCTCTATTTAGTATGTCTATTTGCCTTGCTAACTAAGACTTCAAGATCCAGCTCAAACTTTATCTCTGTTGATTCCAAACGGCAGAGTTAATCATTCCTATCTCTGTGTTCTAATAGCAATTTCTACATATTTCTGTCAAAGCATTGACAACACTCTAACATAAATTATTCAGTTGTCTGAGGTTTCCACTAGACAAAGAATACCTAGAGGGTTATATTTTACTTATTTTTGTATCTCTAGGATCTAAAATAGTGCTGATATACTGGAGACAGTGGTGGAATAATTTTTGAATGAATTCCCACATGCCCAAATCTTCATCATTCTTCAAAGCCGTGTTCCAGTTGTGTGTGAACAAAACCCACAATTCCTCAGCTGGAACTAATCTCTCCTTTCTCTTGACATTCTATGTTGTATTATTAACACAATTACTTGTACCAATGTCATCTCTAGCTAGGTTAGAACATGAGGATGGGATGGACATAAGGATTCATTTTTTATTTTATTTTTCTTTTGAGACACAGTCTCGCTCTGTTGCCCAGGTGGAGTGCAGTGGCACAATCTTGGCTCACTGCAACCTCCAACCCCCAGGTTCAAGAGATTCTCCTGCCTCAGCCTCCCCAGTAGCTGGGATTACAAGTGTGCGCCACCATGCCCAGCTAAATTTTTGTATTTTTAGTAGAGATGGGGTTTCACCATGTTGGCCAGGCTGGTCTCAAACTCCTGACCTCAAGTGATCCGCCTAACTCAGCCTCCCAAAGTGCTAGGATTACATGCGTGAGCCTCCGAGCCTGGCTGGATTCATTTTTGAATCTACCAAAACACAGAGTGCAGTGCACATCATACTCAAACATTTGTTGAATCAATTTTACCAGGGTCTTCAATGTATTAGATATTGTTGAATCTATGCCATTTAAAGAGTAAACTCAAAACGTATTTTCTGATGACTCAAGGTGATCATGACGAACATCAAACATTTTACAGTTCAAGCTAATACGCCAAGGTATCGGCCTACATTTCTGTTCCTCTCCAATTGCCTTATTTTAGCCAAAACTATTTAGACATGGACCTAACTGTGGCTGATCCCATGTCCTCCTTAGATGGTTCTGTAACACCTACTTTTCTTGCACTATTAAAGGTATTTCCCCTTTATATCAGAATCTGGGTGCTGTGCTCTCAGTGGTTAAATTTGTCAGAAGCATACTCTGCAGATAAATGGGATATTAAGATGTTTTCACCGAGATTATAGAAACCAAAGTACGTGAAATGGTGAATTAAAAAGGCACCTAAAGTAATGATGTGAAGATAAATTAACTCATGTAGAAGATCGTTATGACAAAATCTTTTTTAGTGATAGAAACAGTAAATGTGCTGAAGACAGAAACCAGGACCTGAGGATTAAATATCATTAATTATAGAAAAGATAGTATGGGAAGATCAGAATTCAATAAATAAGACATTTTTTAGGAGAAAGTTAATAAATCAAATTCCATTGAAAATCCACAGCTTTGGATTTTTGGGAAATCCAAAGGAAAATTTGGGAACTTACACCCTTAATATGCTCCTAACTTCACTGGTCTACTTCAATCATTTCAGGGGTAAAGACTAAGTATGTAAAACCAAAAGGTCCCTCAACTATTATGTATGGCAGAAGTAATTCAAAATTTGTTTCTTGCAATTACCTCAGGAACTGCTGTGGAGATAGAAGAAAGAAGGTGACGGGGCAAGTAGTTCTTGCTTTAGCCTCTGTACTGCTGTTTTAGCCCAAGGGGTTCCCTTTTTACAGGCTTTACACATTGGACTTCTGAATATTATTTTGTTTAAAGGGTTCTACTGATAAAAACACAAATCTAAGTATCACTGATTTAGACCATTAGACCTAGAGTTAATGGGTTGTTCATCATATTTGAGAAAATTGTCATCAAACTGTATCAGATAGCTACTTTGAGCTACCTTTTTTTTTTTTTTTTGGACATAGGGTCTCACTGTCACTCATACTGGGGTACAGTGGCACAATCTTGGCTCACTGCAACCTCCGCCTCCCAGGTTCAAGTGATGCTCATGCCTCGGCCTCCCGAATAGCTGGGACTACAGGCATGCACCACCATGCTTGGCTAATTTTTGTATTTTTCAGTAGACATGGAGTTTTGCCATGTTGCCCAGGCTGGTCTTGAACTCCTGGCCTCAAGTCATCTACCTGCCTTGGCCTCCAAAAGTGCTAGGATTACAGGTGTGAATTACCAGCCAGATAGCCATTTGTAGCCATTGATTGCTAGAGGAACAGAATGGTGCAGGTACTATGTTGCTGTGGGAATTAAGAAGCTAATACTGCTCTAATTGGGCCATTTACTTTCTCTGGACCTCAAGTACTTTGTTTCTAAGATGAAGGGGTATTTTTTACTCAATGTCTAAGGTCCTTAACACATTAAGATACTCTTAATAGGTGTATAGTCAATAGGGTGGCAGGCCTAGAAAACATGACCTTTAAGAATGCTGTCATATGATCATTACCATAAATACAACTATTACAAGCATGTGACAGTGTTTTAGTTTAACAAAATGAATAGTAAAAAAGTAGAATAACTTTTCAGAGATAAGTAAATAAAATATATTAACAGTTCCAGGAAACCTGTTAGCACATGTTCTTCTGATAAGTTTCTAGTCTGGGAATCGGCTGGGCCTGGAGGGCTCATGCTTGCAATCCCAGCGCTTTAGAAGGCTGAGGTGGGCAAATCACCTGAGGTTAGAAGTTTGAGACCAGCCTGGGCAACACGGTGAAACCCTGACTCTACTAAAAATACAAAAATTACCCAGGAGTGGTGGCACATGCCTGTAATCGTAGCTACTCAGGAGACAGAGGCTGAGGCACAAGAATCACTTGAACCTGAGAGGAGGAGGTTGCAGTGAGCTGAGATCGCACCACTGCACTCCAACCTAGGCCATATAGAATGAGACTCCGTCTCAAAATAAAAATAAAAATAAATTGAAAAGTTACTAGTCTGGGAATGAAAGGATCAGTTTAGACATTCAAAGACGCAGACCTTCAGAAAGTCAAAGTCCAGCATGAACCTTTTAAACAGAAAAAAATCTTAATTACCTCATTTGCCAAAATTCAGCCAATATCAACCTTAATCCTATTAAGGTCCTAGAATTTTGCCTGAGTTTTCTAATTTCCCAATCATCTAATCAGTGTATAAGGTAGGAAAGAAGGTATTCCAGATTCTTAATGCAAATTTCTTTTCCTTTAATAACATTCATTCTGTTGAAACAACATCTGTATCACTCAGGAACAATTTTAACTGTGGTTTGCATGGCTGTTCTGTAGTAACATTCTTAACTGTTACACTAGTCCAGACAAACTTATGTAGCTCCCCAAGATTCATAATCAAGAAATTGCTGTTATCTGGAGGACATTCCAACATTACAGTAAGCAGTCAATGAGCAGTTCCACTAGGACAGGGGAGTCTTACACTCTAAGAACTTTACACTAGACTGCTAATCAGAGAAACCTGAAAGGTCTGTCAGTCCACAAAAGGTTAAAACAAATGGTTTTTTGTTAACGATAAACAGCTGATAAAAATGTTAAGCTTGGTGCTAATAGAAGCGTTTTCCAAAATGAAAAATTTAAATGATTACACAGTAGAAAGTACTAGTTACAAATTTTTCCTTCTATGCCAGTGTACGGTTTTCACTTACCCCTCCCAGATCCTTAATGTCCTTTTGAAGTTTTTCAGATATGGTGACAGAAGGTAAGTCAAGGTAAAATACTTTTCCCCAAAGTGGCTTACATTTGGATTTTTCTGGCCTGTTATCAGTTTTCAGAGATTTCAGAGATGGTCTGTTTTTTTCATTTTTGACTTGGATTCCACCTATTAAAGATGTTTAGAATCAGATGTTTTACACAGACACTTTTACTATTTTTAAAATATTTCATTATACAATATTACAGAATAAAAATCCTTACAACCCTACCAGTTTAAGTTATTAGCATTGAAATGTATTTCTTTGTAGTACTACTTAGGATAGAGGCAAAATGCCCTATATACTTTCACAGACCGCATATTGTAAAATAATAGTTGACTCAGCAAGAAATATTCGTGTGTTTATTCCTGAGGCACGGAACTATATAAAACTCTTTTGAAAGATTTTCTTTTTTTAGGATGTAAACTCCATGGGGATATTTAATACTCAACTATTTATTGAGCATCTGCCATTCTGCTGAACATTCAAAACTGGTGTTTAAACTTCATTTAGCGATGAAAGAATCCTCTGTTACGCAGAATAACCTAGTCCTCAAGGGTTTCAGACTGCTCAAGTTTTAGTTTCATATAAAGTTTGTCTGCATATTAACAACTAAACGGTCCATTTCACATACAATTTGTCTACGTATTAAGAACTTAACGGTCCATTACGAAGAACTAAACCTTTCATTATTTTCATTAGAAACAGATCTGAGATCCAAGCAACTGCTTTAAAAATTAATTTTTCAAACGCAATCTGTTCTTAAATTGGTAGTTACTACACACACACAAACACCTGTACAAAAAACTTAGGTGCTGGAATGTTTCACCAAATAAAGTGACTGAAAATGGAAATTTGCTTTTGTTTCCCTGTTTGTAATGTTGAAACCAGCAATGGGGTGTTTGAAATACAATGCTTTCCCCCAACTTATGAGGAAAGGAAAATAAACTTTCAAGGGTAAGACCAAAAATCCACCCACAATCACTCAATCTAATCCTGAAGCGAAAAGCCACGAGCGCGTCTGACTTTAAATTGAGGATGCAGTCCGTCGCCTCCAAGGGCCCGGGCGGAGGCTTAGCATATGCGAGAGCCCGGGAGCAGACAGCGCCGCAGTCCCGGCGAGGTCCCGGATCTGCACATTGTTTGCTAGTTTTCAACCGAAGGCACGACCGGGAATCAATCTGGGACCGCCGCTGTAAACGGCAGAGCGCTCGAGGGGCCGGGTCAGGATCCGTTCCTTCTTAGGCAAAACACTGAACGGGGGCTCCTTCCTTCAGACCCCAGAGGCCGGTCAGAAGAAAAGAAGCTGAGGACCCGGCGGGAGAAGTCTGAAGAATCAATGGTGGAACCACGAGGGGAGGAAAGGATTAAAGGGACTGCAGGCGGAGGAGGGGCTTCTTACCCTGGAAATGTCCTTTACTGTGGATCCTCATGGCTCCGGAGTTCATGGCAGTCGCCCGGCACCTACATGCTGGGTCCGGAGAAAGTGTCGCACCGGGCAGCCGCGAAAGCACGGCTTCCCCCGGCCTGTTGACAGGACGGCCGCCTCTCTCCTTCCGCCAGCTACGGCCTCTACGCAGTAGAGGTACCGCGTCTGCAGGTCGGGTTTCCGGGGCCGGATCCGGCTCCAAGGCGCGGAGGAGGAAGGCGCAAAGCACAAACGAGTGGGCTGCGGCGGTTGAAGATTTGAAAACGCGTCACGCGGCCGCGGCGCCGATACGCGCGCCCCGCCCCGTCTCACGCCACGCGCCGTGCCCCGCCTCGCGCTCGCCCCTCGTGCCTGCCTTCTCGCGCTGCGCGCCCCGCCCCCTCACGCCGCCGTCCTTCTCGCGCCTCGCTCTGGCCCTGCAGGTTGTGTTTCCGCCTCTACCCCGCCTCCATTCCGTTGCTCTCTCAGTCTCAGACCCGGGCTCTCGGTCCGCCGCTTCAGGTCTTGGCGCAGCCTCAGAGAGTTGGCGCGGCTCTGTGTTGACCAAACCTAGTGGATGCAGTTAGCGCCGGAGCCCGGCCCCGCCCGTCACCAGGGTTATTCCCGCCTTCTAGGTTTGCCAGGACTGCCGGCCCTGCAGCTGCCTTCTGCCCCAGGTATGCTAATTTTCCACTGGTCGGACGTCTGGGAAGCTGAAGGCGAGGGGCTTTGGCTGAGTCCGGACTCAGCTCTGGCCGGGCCCGGGGCCGGGGCCGGAACCGGAGCCGGACAGCGGCGGCAGCCGCAGCCCCTGCTCAGCGCGCCCTGGGTCGCACAGCAAGCGGGGTTTTCCCGCGGTCACTGCCGACCCCACCGGCTGAGGACAGCTGCAGAGGGACGTGCGGGAGTGAGGGCGGCCCCGGGGGGCGTCTGAGGGAGGGTCTGGCCAGGCGGCCCCGGCCTTGACGGCAGCGCCACCGCAGAACGCCTCCAGGTCACTTTGTGTCCTTGGGTAGTTGGCTATTTGCGCTGTCCTGTTGACTTTTATTGTATTCAGACCTGTTTTCTTTTAGTTGAGTGTAAGTTTATTTCAACAATGAAGGAGTGGAAAGTAACATCTCATTTTTTTTTCCTGTAAAACAGAGATTAAAGATCAAATTAAAATGCTTGTGAATATATTTTAATTTTATAAGTTGGAACATGCCTCTCCAAAAAAAAAAAAAAATCTGTTTCTTCAGGAGGAAGAGGATATTTTGAACTATTTTGCATTCCTCTACTCCAGGCCATAATAGGCACTCCTGTAGTGGTTGATTTTTTTACCTGGTAGCTCAAGGAAGTCAGAGTATCAGCGTTACGGTTTTGCAGGTAGGTACCTTAAAGAATAGACAAGGGTGGGTTGTGACAAGATTAGCTGGAGAACGCAGAGAACAGGTTTGCTAAGGGAAATGAGAGTTTGGTTTTAGACAGGTTTATGTTGAAGGGCCTGGGGCGACAGTCATGGAACTATGCTTATTAGACAGTTAAAGATGTTTATGACTCGAGAGAAATGTCTAGCAGAAGTGGACATGGGAAGAGGAAATAGAGATTGATTTGATATCTCTCCAATAAAATATTTCTGCATCAAGGTCTATTGATGTCAATCATGGGGCAATTCATTAGAGGTTAACAGATCTTGAGTGGTGGAAGGAAGTGTAGTTTGAACAAACATATTCAATATTGTAATTTCTATGGGAAAAAACTTATTTTCAAAATATAAGCTACAGAGAGCACAAAATGTTTATATTTACAGAAAGATTTAAAAAGTTGGGAAGCACTAATATAGAATGTAGTTAAAGCTTTGGGAGGAAATGAAATTGCCAAGGAGAGCATGTGAAATAAGAGAATTGATTATAAGCGTCGTTGATGAAATAGTGAAAGAGATGGAGAAAATGCCACAGAATTGGGAAGAGACTGCAAACATTGGAATCATATGGGCTTCACTAACTACTTGGCCTCTGGGTAATTTTGAGCCCCAATTTTAATCTATTAAAAGGGGGTAGTACTTCTCAGGGATGTTGTGAAGATTAAATGAACATTTTTGAATGCTTAGTACAGTGCCTGGCACAGAGTAGAGCTCCTTAAGAGCTCCATAATTACTATCATTCTAGTGAACACTGCACCAGTTCCTTCATCCCCAGGACAGATAAGGTTAAGACTTGAAAAATAAGTATTTGATTTTGGCGTTTCAGGTATCCTTGGTTTCCTTAAGGGTAATTTGAGTAGGTGGCAGAGATAAGTACAGTACTAGATAAAAATTATAATCTTGAAGTTCAGACAGGTTGAGTGTACTCTTTCAAAAAAATTTGTTATTGTAGGAAAGTATAATGAAGGGAAGACTGGATCTTTGGAAGGTTTAGAGGATGTGGGAAAGATTTTTAAGCATGCTTCTATTGAGGAACTTTTTTTTAAAAAAGGAAGTCCCATTTTATGGTCTTGTGAAAGATGAATTGTGTGTCTTATTTGCCGTGAAGAGGAAGGACAGTAACATAGTTGCACCCTATGCGGTTAGACTCACCCTCGACTGCACTGAAGATGGTAATTCCAAGCAATAAATAAGCAGGAAGTCCGCTTTATGCAATAGTTAGTAATTTTCTAATCTATTATCCAAGGTTAGTTTTTAAAATATTACTGGAACCTAAATCTGTTAGTAGCCACAGAAAGGATATGGCTGTAGTCAGTAAGGATAGAAACCTCCTTTTTATTGTCCAGTAATCAGGTCTGTTGGTAAGAGGGTAGGGTTTGTCTTAAAGTAGATCTTGAAAATATGCTTGAAAACATTTCTTCAGAGGAAGGGTAGACATTTAAGAAGAAGTGAATGGGGGCAGGGTTATTTATGGTGAGAAACTTTGTTCAAGAGTTATATTAGGCAAAATTGGAGAACATTGAGCAGAATCATGATCTAATTAAATGAATATGTGGCTGTGAATCAAGAGAAATGAATTTTATTCATTGCTGGCCCTGTCCCTAACTAGTTTTGTGACCATGGGCAAATGTTAACCTTTCTGGCTGGGCACGGTGGCTCAAGCCTATAATCCCAGCACTTTGGGAGGCCGAGGTGGCGGATCACGAGGTCAGAAGTTGGAGACCAGCCTGGCCAACATGGTGAAACTCTGGCTGTACTAACAATACAAAAATTAGCTGGGCATGGTGGTCCCCGCCTGTAACCCCAGCTACTCAGGAGGCTGAGGCAGGAGAATCACTTGAACCCAGAAGGCGGAGGTTGCAGTGAGCGGAAATTGCGCCACTGCACTCCAGCGTGGGCAACAGAGCGAGACTCCCTCTCAAAAAAAAAAAAAAAAAAAAAGTTAACCTTTCTATGCTAGAATTTACTTATCTATAAATGAAGATAATATTGTTCAGTCTACTCCACAACTTTTTGTGATTATCAGAGACCTAATCTGATCTTTCAGATTACCTCACACATACCCAAATATAAATTTTTTGTTCTAGAATCTAGACAAATTAATTTTGTAGTACTTATCACTTTTTTTTTCTTTCTTTTGCCTAAGCCTCTTCACCTGGCTCAGCAATTATTTTTTCCTGTCCATAGCAAACCTAGCTTAGATTCATCCTTTATCTCCTGCTCATTTGGGTATAATCATTCCTGTTTGATTCATTTGCCAACTATTGATATGTCGTCTTCTGAAATGTGTTCTGATCTATTTTTATTAATTTTCACATTTCATAGTCTCACTATCCTGGTGAATTGGAGGGCTTAAGGTTATATGTAAGGTTAAATTCTTAGTTTTGCAGGCTAAGTGCATGAAAGGATAGGATTGGTTAGTGGCTGTGGAACTGTAGTTAATGTCTCAGGTGACTGTGGGCTGGGAAACCAGGGTAAATTCAGCATTATCAGGCCCTTGAAGACATCCTAAGTGTGTTCACTTTAAATTACAGGCGCCTGCCACCATGCCCAGCTAATTTTTGTATTTTTAGTAGAGACAGGGTTTCACTGTGTTGGCCAGGCTGGTCTTGAACTCCTGACCTCAGATGATCCGCCAGCCTCGACCTCCCAAAGTGCTAGGATTACAAGCGTGAGCCACTGTGCCCAGCCTGCATTTAATTTGTTTATCTTGCTTTATTGTACTGGCTAAATTCTTCAGTACTTTGTTGAATAGAAATGATGAGAGTAGTAAATGGTTCTTATCAAACCGAGGAATTTCCCTTTCATTGAAAAGGATTGAAAGGCTTGCTCAAGCCTTTCAGTCATGGTGGGTGTGGGATGTTGTCAAAGGTTTTCTTCTTCCTCTATCATCTGACTGGACGTTTATTTATTTTTTATTCTTTTGCCTCAAGGGACCAGCTTTTATTGTTTTTTCCTATTGTTTTTCAGCTTTCAATTTTATTGGTTTTTATTTTCATTTCTTCTTCTTTTGGTTCTAATTTGCTCTTTTGTTTTTAGCTTAGATAGTTAATTTTAGGCCTTCTCTAATACAAGCATGTAATGCTATAAATTTCATTGTAAATGCTGCTTTAGCTGCATCTCAAAACTTTAGGTAGTTCTTGCCATTTTCTACTTCCATGTAAGTTTTGGAAAAGAGTTTGTCAAACCCACAAAAGTAAGAAGATTATGTAAGAAGATTAAGTAAGAGGTTATGATTCCTGTGAATCTATAGATAAATTTGGAAGAATTTATATCTTTATAGCATTTATTCTTCCAGTCTATGAAATGGTAATATTTCTTCATTTATTAAGATCTTTAATAAATTAGTGAAAGGTACACAACTACAGAACCAATGGATGTTAAAATGACAACAAAGTAATATTATGAACAACCTTATGCTGATAAATTCAACAACTTAAATGAAATGGACAAATTACTTGAAGTACACTAACTGTCAAAGCTTACAGGAGAAGAAATAACCTAAATATTCTTATATCTACTAAAGAAAACTCCAGGTCTGGATAGCTTCACTGGTGAATTCTCTCACATGTGCATTTTAAGAAAGGCAAAGATGATACAAAAAATTATGGATCAGCATCCCTAATAAACATAGATGGTTAAATTCTTAGCAAAAATTTAACAAATGAAAACCAATTCTATATACAAAGGATAAAACATCATGAGTAAATGGAGGTTTATTCCAGGAATCAAGCAGTGTAAATCACCATGTAACCAGACCAAAAAGGAAAAACCGTATGTATCATCTCAATAGATACTACCTGTTGCTGTATAACAAATTATTCCAAAATGTAGTTATCTTAAAATAACTAATCTTTATTATCTCACAGTTTTTGTGTGTCAGGAATCTGGATGCAGCTTAGTTAAGCAAGCTCAGGATCTCTCAGGACAGTGCAGTGAAGGTGTTGGCTGAGGTTGCATTTATCTCAAGGCTCAACCAGGGAGGGATCTAATTTAAAGCTCACTAGGGGTTGTTGGCAAGATTCACTTTCCTTTGGCTTGTTGGTCTGAAGGGCCTCAGTTCAATGCTATTATCTGGAGGCTGTTTTTGTTGCCCGAATGGGCCTCCACATAGGGCAGTTCACAGCATGGCAGCCTGTATCATTGAATCACGGTATTTCCCTGACGCCTTCATGCATGGGAACTGGAGTGCATGAGCACCGGCAGGGGCAAACTCTACTCACTCGCTGTTCCACCCCTCACATGATGGGGAGTGCAGGTGAGTGGATGCAGAAGCTAGGGCGAGTGCTTTTGGGCGCCAGCAAGAGCAAACTGTACCGGCCCTGTGGCAGCATCTAGGAGAGGGATGCCTGTGACCCCTGAAGCCCCAGAGGAAATGATACAGTGCCCTTTCAGTTTTGCCATCCACGGACAGCTTAAGTGTTAGCAGCTTATGAGGGTCAGTGTGATGGCCTTTTACACGTTCATGTGTGGCACCTGAGTTCTTGTCGGGCATCCAGGAGGAATGAGGTCACACGAACAACTTCAATATGGTAAATGCAGGGAGTTTTATTGCTGATGAAAGTGGCTCTCAGCAAGAAGGGGAGCTGAAAAGGGGTTGGAGCAGGAAGCTAATCTTACCCTAAGGTCCGGCCGTCCCCAGCCAGACCCATCTCCAAAGTTACACCATCAAGCCATCACTCTGAAGTAAGCTGCTTCTCTCAGACATTCGGCTGCTTCTTCTCTTCCCTGTGCTGGCTGAGCCTGTGGTTTTTATGGGCACAGGATGAGGGTGGGGCAGGTCATAGGTAGTTTTGGAAAAGGCAACATTCAAGTGGGAAAACAGGGATCTAAGTTCTCACTTTGGGCTGCAATTCCAGGCTTGAGGGTGGGGTCCTCACTGGGGATCTGCCCTCTTATGCCCAGAATTTATCTGCCTCTTGTCCCTATCATCATCAGATAAAGCTAGTGAAGAAAGCAGAGTCTGCTTTAGTGGACATCACAGTCTTTTATAAGTTAATCTTGAAAGTGACGTTTTATCATTTTTGTCCTTTGCTTCAGAAGGCCAACAACAGAAAAAATAGGCAAATTGAGCTTTGTCTAGACTTAAAACTTTTGTATGTTGAAGAACACTATGAAGAAAGTGAAAAGACAGCCCACAAAATAAGCTATTTTGCATCTAATATATCTGGTAAGGATCTAGTATCCAAAAAATATGAAGAATTATTATAACTCAATAAGAAGATGACCCAATTTAAAAATGACCAAAGGATCTAAATAGCTATTTCTCCAAAGAAGATATATTTCTCCAAAGAAGATATAATTGTTATGCATAACATAACAATTCCTTAGAAAAATGCAAAGTAATACCACAATGAGATTTCACGATTCATATATTCAAAGGAATAAAATGTTAAAACTGACCATACCAAGTGTTGTTAAGGATGTGAAGCAACTGGAACTTGCATATAGTGCTGGTGGGTGTGTAAAATGGTTCAACGGCTTCGGAAAACATTTTCTGAATTTCTTTAAACGTTAAACATACATTTACCATTTGATCCAGCTATTCTACTTATGTATTTACTCAAGATTTAAACAGATAATCATAGTTGCTTTATTTGTAATAGGCCCTAACTTGAAACAACCCAGATTTTCATCAACAGATAAATGGATAAATTGTAGTATATTTATGTAATGGAATAGTATTCAGAAGTGGAAAGGAACCAAGTATCAATGCATGTAATAAAATGAATGAATTTCAGAATAATTAGTGAGTAAAGGAAACCAGAAAAAAAGGGGGTACGAACTGAAATAGAATAAAGGGGAGAGGTTTTTTTTGGATTTTTTTTTTTTTTGGAACAGGGTCTCACTTTGTCACTTTGACACCCAGGCTGGCATGCAATAGCATGATATAGGCTCACTGCAGCCTTGACCTCCTAGGCTCAAGTGATCCTCCCATCTCAGCACCCCCATGTAGCTGGGACTAGAGGTGCACACCACTACACCTAGCTCATTTTTTGTATTTTTTTCTAGAGATGGAGTTTCACCACATTGCCCAGGTTGGTCTGAAACTCCTGAGGTCAAGCAGTTTGCCTCACTCGGCCCCCCAAAGTGCTAGGAATACAGGCATGAGCCACCACACCCAGCCAGAGGGGCGAGTTTTCAATTCCAAAATGGTGGTGTAGAAGCAAGTTGGCTTCATTCTCTTTAACAGAAAACTGAAAACAAATATACAGTGCCAAGATTACCACCAGCAATATCCCAGAACTCAAATAGGATGAGGCAGCTTTCAGAGCCACAGATAAATGAAAAAAACTCTAAGCAGATGGTCTGATATTGTGAAATATATATTTGGCTTTCATTTCCATTTCCTGATGTACAGCTCCTAAAATCCTTAGAATCTCCAAAGTCCTATATTTTTGTATGCTAATACTGACTGATAGCTTTAGGGTAGGATTGGTCACCAGAAAAATGAAGGCATGATTAGAAGTTTGGGACTTACAGCTGTACCCTGAAACCTTTGGGGAGAGGAGAGGAGCTGAAGGTCAAGTTGATCACTAATGACCAGTGGTTTAATTAAGTAGGCCTACATCATGAAGCCTTCATAAAAACCTGAGAGGACAGGGTTCAGAGAGCTTCTGGATAGCTGAATATGTTGAGGTTCCTGCAGGGTGGCATGCCCAGGAAGGGAATGGAAGCACCACCTCCTTCCCCTATACCTTGCCCTGTACATTTCTTCACCCGTTCCCTTTGCGATATCATTTATAAGGAACCAGAAAAGCTGTTTTGCTGAGTTCTGTGAACCACTCTAGCAAATTGTTCAAACCCAAAGAGGGAGTTGTGGGAACCCCAACTCGAATCTGATTAGTAAGAAGTTCTGGAGGCATGGACTTCTGACTGAAGGTGGGGAGGCAGTCTTGGAGACAGCCCTCAACCTGTGGGATCAGATTCTTATTTCCAGGTAGGTAGTGTCAGAATTAAATTGAAGGATATCAAGGTGGCAGGGTCCACTGCATATAGGTAGGGGGAACTCCTCACCCCCAAACATTTGGTCAGATAATTCTTTGTTGATTCTTCTGGTGTGAGAGCAGAGGAAAAACACGGTTTGAGAGTATCACAGATACTTTTCCTCCGAGTCTTCTGGCACCAAGTGCACAGAATAGTTCCCTTTAATTCATGGTTTCTATACTGGAAGTTGTGAGATTGAGGTGGACAGCCAGCTTCCCTATCATCTCGGGTTCCCTTTCAGGAGAATTCCTCCTCCCTCGACTCATTGGAAGCATTGGCAGTGCCTGAAGGTAGAAATATTGCTCAGGGCAGGCAGAGTAAAAGGTGGGGAGGTGGTACCACCATCCCTGACCTTGCAAACTCTGCTCTATAACTGAACCAAAGGAGATGCCAAATCATAGTGGCTGTTCAGCAACACCACAATGTAAGAGGTATGTTCCACAGGTCCCCTAGGCAGAAATGCCTAACCATCCTTCTCACACTGCTGTGATACATTCTCTGTGATTTCCCCTGTTCAGGACAGGCAGCATTTAGATTGCTTACTAAAGCTGAGACAATCCTGTGCTTAAAGTGCCACCTAGTACCAAAAAGGAGGCAGTGACCTAGTGGGAAACAATATTCAACAGATAAATTACAAAGAGTGTCTAAGCAAACATGCCCAGTAAACACCAAAACAATCCAGACCAAAAAGACTGGAATAAATGAATTATTCATTGCAAAGATATGGACATAAATCTATAGGAAATAACAAATAGGGAACAGTGACCTCCCCAAAAAGACATAGCAAAACTCCAATGACTGATCCTAAAGAGACACAGTACATGAGCTCTCCAACCAAGGATTTAAAATAGCAGTTTTAAGTAAACTTAGTGATCTCCAAGATAAAACAAAAAAAAATTCCAGAAATTTATCAAAGAAATTAAACAGATTGAAATTGTTTTTAAAAATGAAATCTGGAACTCAGCAATACATTTGTCAACTAAAAATTTGATTAGATACTGTGAACAGCAGAATGGATCAAGCAGAGAAAACAATCAGTGAGCTAAAGGACAGGCTATTTGAAAACACACAGAGGAGAATAAAAAGAATGAAAAGGAATGAAGATTACCTACAAGATACAGAAAATTACTTCAAAAGACCAAATCTTAAGAATTATTGGTGTTCAAGAGGGAGTTGAGGTAGAAAACTTATTCAAAGAAATAATAACAGAAAACTTTCCCAAACTTGAGAAAGATATAACTATCCAGTTATAGGAAGGTCTGAGAACAACAAACAGATTTGATCCAAATAAGATTTCCCTAAGGCATATGTTGGGAAAACCAGCCGCACACCACCCAGTGGGTACCCCAAGTCTGGCGGAGACAAAGGAGTTAGAAAAAGACAGAATAAGCGCTTAAAAGGCGCATCCAGGGGACCAGAGCATCGGAGGCTTGCTCACGGCCCAGAACTCTTGGGCTCCACCCAATTTATTGGTTTACAAGCTCTTTGTTCTTAGGGAAGATGGGAGGGATAGGAAGGGATGAGGAAAAGGATTAATCAGTGAAGGAACTCGTGAGTAGCAGTGGTGGTTTCTGTGAATTTCCTTGAGTAAAGGTGTGTGTCTAAACTACTTAAGATCTTTAACTTATCGGGACTGAAACAGGTGGGAGTGGGTTTCAGGAGGAGCCAAGATGTTTGATTATACTCCACTGCTTCAAGGAGTGTTATCTCCCTGAGCAACCTGTGGAATGCCGCTGAGCGGTTATGCTCTCAGGGCATAAAGACATGAAGGCAATAAGGAGACGTTTCTCCTCAGAGGACGCCCATGGCTTCCCATGAATGTCTCATGCAGGGGAAACCAACTCAACTGGCACCCCAGAAACTGTCTTTCCCACAGCATATAATAATCAAACTCTAAAAGGGCAAGGATAAAGAAAGGATTCTAAAAGCAGCAGAAGAAAAGAATCAAGTAACATGTAAACAAACTCCAATTCATCTGGCAACAGACTTCTCAACAGAAGCCATACAGGCCAGGAAGGAGTTAGATGACATTTTTAAAGGGCTGAATGAAAAAAAAAATCTGCCATCCAAGAATACTGTATCCAGCAAATATACCCTTGAAATGTGAAGGCCAGATAAAGTCTTTCCTAGACAAAAGCTAGGAGGATTCACCACACCATACCCATTTTACAAGAAACGCTAAAGGGAATTCTTCAACCTGGAGGAAAAAAACGTGTGAAAAGAAAACATTTGAAGGTGCAAAACTGGCCAGTTAAAGTAAGTACACAGACCATTAATATTCATTCATTTTTTTTTTTTTCCTAGAGAGGGTTTTGTTCTATTGCCTCGGCTGGAGTACAGTGGCATGATCTCAGCTCACTGAAACCTCTGCTTTGTGGGCTCAAGCGATCCTCCCACCTCTGCTTCCCAAGTAGCTGGAATTACAGGTGTGTGCCACCACACCTGGCTAATTTCTGTATTTTTTTGTAGAGATGGGGTTTCACCATGTTGCCCATGCTGGTCTTCAACTCCTGGGCTCAAGCGATCCACCTGCCTTGGCATTCCAAACTGCTGGGATTATAGGCATGGACCACTGTGCACAGTCCCCAAGAATATTCTTTTTTTTTCCCCCCGAGACGGAGTCTCACTGTGTCACCCAAACTAGAGTGCAGTGGTGTGATCTTGGGTCACTGCAACCTCTGCCTCCTGGGTTCAAGCAATTCTCCTGCCTCAGCCTCCTGAGTAGCTGGAACTACAGGCATGCACCACTGCACCTGGCTAATTTTTATTTTTATTAACGGAGTTGGGGTTTCGCCCTCTTGGCCAGGCAGGTCTCAAACTTGTGGCCTTAAGTGATCCGCCTGCCTTGGTCTCCCAAAGTGCTGGGATTATAGGCCTCAGCCACTGTACCTGGCCTCCCAAGAATATTCTAATGCTGTAATTGTGGTGTGCAATTCACTCATAACTCTAGTATGAAGCATAAGAGAAAAATCTGTTAAAAACTGTGATAGCTACTGCGGCCTGTTGAGAGATAAGGAATATAAAAATAGGTAAATTAAGACAAAGTCAAAATGTGTGGAGGATGTATTAAAGTGTAGAGCTTTTTTTTTAGTTTTCTCTTGGTTTCTGTTCTTTGTTATCTAAAATAAGTTTTCATCTTTTAAAAATAATTTGTTGTATTTACAAGATGATTTTTAAAATTCATGCCAACCACAATGGAAAAACTTATTGTAGATACACTAAAAATAACAAGCAATGCGTTAGACCAGTAGTGGTGGCTCGTGCCTGTAGTCCTAGGTCTGCAAGAGGCTAAGGCAATAGGATTGCCGGAGCCTGGCAGTTTGAGGTTGCAATTAGCTGTGATCCTGCCATTGCACTCCAGTTTGGGCACCAGAGCAGGACCTTGTCTCAAAAAAAAAAAAAAGAAAAGAAAAGAAAAGAAAAAAATCAACAAATCAAAACATGCTAACAAAGAAAATCACTTAGCCACAAAGGAAAACAGTAAGAATGGAAGAAAAGAAGAGGAGACAAGTTAGAAAACAGCCATTAAAGAAACAACAAAAGGGCAGTGGTAAGTTATTATTAGTACTAACACAGAATAGAAATAGATTCAGTTCTCAGCTTAAAGACACAGAATGGCTAAATGGATTAAGAAAACCAAGACCCAACCATATGCTGTCCACAAGAAACCTACTTAATCTATAAAGACACAATTTGAAAATGAAGGGATGGGGAAAGGTATTTCATTTATGCGAGTGGAAACCAAAAAGGATCTGGACTAGCTATGCATATGTAAAATAGGCTACTAGTCAAAGACTGTAAAAAGAGACAAAGTCACTATAAAATGATAAAGGGGTCAATTTAGCAAGATGATATAACAATTATAAATATTTAACCAATGCGGGAACACCCTGATATATAAAGCAAACATTAATAGATCTAAAGGGAACAGTTTGGTAAAATAAATAAGACCACGTTTTTTTGATAGATCAGCATGGTGGATATAGTTTACACTAATCCGTTGTGTATTTCAAAATAGCTAGTAGACAATAATTCACATCTTTCTAACATAAATATTTAAGGTGCTGGATATCCCAAGTACACTGATTTGACTTTATAAATTATATGAATGTATTAAATTATCACATCCACCCTGAATATAGTGCACCTAATACATATCAATTAAATTTTTAAAATAGTCCTAAAGGGAGAGAGACAGCAATTCAGTATTAGTGGGGAGCTTCAGTAACACACTCTCAGTAATGGACAGATCATTCAGACATAATAACAAACCAACAAGGAAACACTGGAGTTAAACTACACAGCCCTAACTGACATTTACAGAACATTTGTAAAATGAGAATGAAATTCTGTCGCTTGTGACAACATGGATGAACCTAGAAGTCCTAGAAATCCTTATGTTAATTGAAATAAGCCGGACAGAGAAAGACAAACATCACATGTTCTCAGTCATATGTGGAGCTAAAAAAGTGGATCTCATGAAGATAGTAGATTGGTAATTACCAGAGGCCAGGAAGGTTTTGGGGAAGGAAACTGGGAAGAGAGGTTGATGAATGAGTACAACTTTCAGTTAGAAGAAATAAGACCTAGTGTTTGATCGTTGAGTAAGCATACTTAATAATCTGTTGTACATTTCAAAATAACTGGAAGATAATTCGAATGTTCCTAACATAAATAAAAGATAAATGGTTAAAATGATGTATATCCCAATTACCCTGATTTGATCTTGACACACTATATTAATGTATCAGATTATCACATGTACCCCCAAAACATGTACATCTAGTATGTATCAATAAAAATAAATAAATGTCTTAGTCCGTTCTCACACTGCTAATAAAGACATACCTGAGACTGGGTTATTTATAAAGGAAAATTGTTCAATTGACTCACAGTTCATTGTGGCTGGGGAGGCCTCAGGAAACTGGCAATCACAGTGGAAGAGGAAGCACACATGTCCTTCACATGGTGGCAGCAAGGAGAAGTGCCAAGCAAAAGGGGGGAAAGCCCCTTATAAAACCATCAGATCTTGTGAGAACGCACTATCACAAGAACATCATGTGGGTAACCACCTCCATGATTAAATTACCTCTCACTGGGTCCCTCTCATGACACATGGGGATTATGGGAACTACAATTTAAGATGTGATTTGGGTGGGGAGACAACCGAACCATATCATGCATTCCTAAGTATTTTTTTAAAAAATGGAATAAAGGATTTCTCAAACCAGTAAGGAAAGTATACATGCCTTAACATCAAAGTAGGTAAAAGATGTAAATGGACATACTACAGAAGAGGCAATATATACTACTGATAAAAATATGCAGAGATGTTAAGCATCTTTATTGGCCAGGGGAAGGTGATACAGTTTGGCTGTATCCCCACCAAGATCTCATCTTGAATTGTAGCTTCCACAGTCCCCACATATTGTGGGAGAGACCTGGTGGGAGGTAATTGAATCATGAGGGTGAGTCTTTCCCATCCTATTCTTGTGATAGTGAATACCTCTCACGAAATCTGATAGTTCTATTAAGGGGAGTTTCCCTGCACAAGTTCTCTTCTCTGCTGCCATGTGAGACTTGCCTTTTACCTTCTGCCATGATTGTGAGGCCTCCCCAGGCATGTGGAACTGTGAGTTCATTAAAACACTTTTATTTGTTAATTGCCCAGTCTTGGGTATGTCTTTATCAGTAGTGTGAAAACAGACTAATACAGAAGGTAAATCAAGATTATAATAAGATTGCATTTAACACATATTTGTTTTGAAAAAATTGAAAATTCTGATGATACTGAGGAGATAGTGTTCTGTCTTCTGGCTTAAATGTAAGTTACTTTAATCCTTTTACTAAAGATTCTTCATTAATCTCCTGGTTAAGTGAATTTTGTTATTAAGTAACTTTTGTTTCTCAAGAAGGGCTCATGGGTTTTTCATGTTGGAGAATGCTTCCCATTTACATTTGAAGACCACCTTGGTTAGTTAGAGTAAATTATTAATGGTTACTTCAGTAGCATACAGAAGCAGAAAAGGTATAGAAAAGAGGAATTTTGCAGGGAGTTGAGGGAGGAAAGCTGTTCTTGCAGAACATTTCTTCATGAGATGTTCTACTATTACAGGAAAGCCAAGAGATATTTTGTTAGAGTGAGTTCTCCCAGTAGAATGTGTCCTCCCTAAAAAGGGACAGTGTCTGCACATAGGAGAATAGAAAGTGGGACAGAAAAAAGATAAGTAGGTTGGTAAAACTGTAGGGAGTTTAAAGCAGTGTTGAATACATTATGAGTTCTAGGCAGTTCACTGATAATCACTTCTCAGATTTTCTACCTGTACTCCCAAGTCTCTGGGAGTAGCGTTTTGCCTTTTTTTTCATTATTTTTGTAATAAATTGAAAAGGAGACTCATTTTTCATTTCTCATTATAATTAGATAACATGATTTTAGGAGATAATTGATGTAACTTATTTTTCTAAAATAGTATATATGTTATGAAACAATTTCATTAACTATTCTAAAAAGTTATATCTAAATTTCTGACTTGTTTCCTTACATTCTGATGGCTAGAAATATAATAAAGTTTTCTGGATTTAATTTCATGTGCGCATATTCAAGTTGTCAACCTTGCTGGCATCAATGTCAACAATAAAGTGCTGTGGGCCGTTTTACCATTCTGGAGGAGAAGTATACCTATATTCTAGCATACATATATTATTTTTCCACTTAAAGGAGCTCATTTAAATGAATGTTACAAATATGTTCCCTAGACTTGAAGATTCTACATAAGTTTCAGGAACTAAAATATTTTTATTGTACATATTTTCACATATACAGAAAAATACAGAACAATGAAATATGGTATATGTTTACATAGGTTTACCAAATCATAACATTTTAGTATATTTATGTTTTCAAAGTATTGTAAACTACAGTTATTAGAACATTATGGTCCTTAATAATTTAGAATGAATCTCTCAAAAAAATACTTTCTGTATACAAAATGAACAAGATTTCTGAAATATTATCTAATATCCAATTAATATTATCTAATACCAGACCATGGTCACATATCACTAGTTACCCTCAAACTGGAAAAATTTGTTTGTTTGAACCAGGGTTCTTTTGGTGGTTGACTCTTAAGATTCCTTTTAATCTAGAACAGTTTACTCTCCCTTGCCACGTTTTTTTCCCACCTTTGATTCAAATAAATCAAGACAATAGTCTTGTAGGCTAAAAGAGTACAACTTCTACTGTTATGTGGCATCCATTACCTTGTTACACTAGTTGCTGAATTTCCTGTGACTTGGAAGTTAGACCTAAAGCTTGTTGTTTCAGATTCAGATTAAAGATTGTTTCGATTCAGATTAAAGGTTCGCCCTCTTACACTCCCTTCCCAAAAAAAACAACCGTCATAGATGATGCTGGCCCTTTAATTTTGTGTTACAAAATCTGGTTGTTCTACTGTAAATGATGCTAAGATTAATCACTGTGTTTGGGCTCTAGAGTCGTTTGCTTATTTGTTTTTAAAGCAGAGTATATTAACTAGAATAACATGAGGTTTTTGTGAAAATGCTTCTATAACTAATGCTTGCATTTATGGAGTGCTCTTTATATTCTTCAAAGCAATTAGTAGAAAGCATTTAATGAGTATTTGTTGATTTTTGTATTAAAGTTTTTATGTACTCTTTTCTTTTAGATTTATTATCCTTTTCCTGTGTGAAAAGATAAGACAATTACTTTCTTCTTAATTACAGGTTTTTGGCTACTGATGTTACAAACAATAAAATATTGGAGCATAGAGTTGAAGAACAGACTCAAACCAGGTAGGTAGATAATAAAAGTCTAAAGAATCAATAAAATTACTATTTATTTTGATAAAGGACATTATTGATATTATTGACAGAATTGGAATATGAACTGTAGAGTACGGTTCAAAATTAAGTTTCCTGAATTTGATAATTGTATTGTGATTATATAAGATAATATTCTGATGTATTTATGGTGAAGGGACATGATGTATGCAGCCTACTTTTGAATGGTTCAGAAAAAAAATTATATGTAATTTGACAGAGAATTTGATAAGTCATGGATAAGTAGGAACTCTCATATTGCCAGTAGAAGTATAGATTGATCCAAGCTTTCTGGAAAGCATCATGGCAATTTGTATGACGTTTTTTTTGTTGTTGTTGTTTTGATTTTGACATGTAGTCTTCTCTGTCACCTAGGCTGGAGTGCAGTAATGCGATCTTGGCTCATTGCAACTTCTGCCTCCTGGGTTAAAGGGATTCTCATGCCTCAGTCCCCCACGGAACTGGGACTACAGGTTTGCGCCACCATGCCCTGCTAATTTTTTGTATTTTTAGTAGAGACTGGATTTCACCATGTTGGCCAGGCTGGTCTCAAACTCCTGACCTCAGGTAATCCACCTGCCTTGGCCTCCCAAAGTGCTAGGATTACAGGTGTGAGCCACCACACCTGGCCCTGTATCAAGTTTTAAAATAGCTTATCCCATCAATCTTACTATCTTTCCTACAGTAATTGTAGGAAGGTTACAAAAATATATATATGTATGTATAAGAATGTTATAGCAGAATATTTTATAGTTTGGAAATTGGCAACAACCTGATATCTAACAATCTGAAACTGATTAAATAAATATAATTAACTACCGTGCAAGCAATAAAAATGTAAATCTGTTTTTATTGACACAATGTCTATAATGTGTTTTTAAGTGTTAAAGCAGCCTACTAAACAAGCAAAATAGTATTGACCTGTTTTTCAGAAAAGCTGTATGTACACGGACACATAAGTGTACGTGTGTTTGATTAATATACAATATTTGGTTAGATGTAATGTGTGTGTATAGACATATACATATGTATGTGTGTATGTTCATAGACATTTGGAAAGATGACATTCCTGTTGCTGGTGATTATTATTATTATTTTTTTTTGAGACAGAGTCTTGCTCTGTTGCCCAGGCTGGAGTGCAGTGGTGCGATCTCGGCTCACTGCAAGCTCCGCCTCCTGGGTTCACGCCATTCTCCTGCCTCAGCCTCCCGAGTAGCTGGGACTACAGACACCTGGCTAATTTTTTGTATTTTTAGTTGAGACAGGATTTCACCATGTTAGCCAGGTTGGTCTCGATCTCCCGACCTCATGATGCGCCCGCCTCGGCCTCCAAAAGTGCTGGGGTTACAGGTGTGAGCCACCACGCCTGGCCGGTGATTATTTTTGAATAGTAAGTTCATAAGTTATTTTTATACTGTTCTGTATTATCTGACTTTTTAAAACTTTTTATGTTTTTATGTTGCTTTTCTCATCAAATTTTTGTAAGATAAAACTTATTAAGGTTATGTGTTTTTATTTTACATCTGTACAACAACTACTGGTATACAATAAAGGGCTGTATTTGCTGATACCTCTGTACTCTATTGGGGAGGTTTTTTTAGTAGTGTGTATGAGGCTGAGTTCACAGACTCAGACTTAGTGGTCACCTGCTTTCATTCTGTCAGTATCTGTTTGGTTAATTCTCTCTTAGTTGTCTTACTAATGTGATGCTGCTCACCCAGCTTAGCTGAAGGATGTTATCATTTTTGAAAGATCAGAGGATGTGCTCTAATTTTATGTTTTCTTTTTAACAGGTTTTTATTTAATTAGTTAAAAATATGGATCCTGAGACAAGGGGACAAGAGATTATCAAAGTGACACCTCTTCAACAAATGCTTGCCTCATGTACTGGAGCTATACTGACATCAGTAATAGGTAAAATTATGTTACTGATGTAGATTATGTAACTTTGAATGAGTCAGTGCTTCCATTTGAGTTTTAGTATCAGTATTTCAACGTAGTTTCTTTCTATTTTCCATAAGTATTGGCTGGCTGAGAAATAAAGAGTACAAAGAGAGGAATTTTACAGCTGGGCCTCCGGGGGTGACATCACATATTGGTAGGACCGTGATTGCCCACCTGAGCTGCAAAACTAGCAAGTTTTATTAAGGATTTCAAAAGGGGAGGGGGTGTAAGAACAGGGAGTAAGGTCACAAGATCACATGCTTCAAAGGGTAAAAAGGAGAACAAAAATCACATGCTTCTGAGGAAACAGGACAAGGGCAAAATCACAGACTCCTGATAAGGGTCCAGCAAAGATCACAAGGCAAAGGGCAAAAGCAGAATTACTGATAAGGGTCTATGTTCAGCAGTGCACGTTTTGTCTTGATAAACATCTTAAACAACAGAAAAGAGGGTTTGAGAGCAGAGATCCAGTCTGACCTCAAATTTACCAGGGTGGAGTTGCCCAATCCTAGTAAGCCTGAGGGTACTGCAGGAGACCAGGGCGTATTTCAGTCTTTATCTCAACGGCATAAGACAGACACTCCCAGAGTGGCCATGTATAGACCTCCCACCAGGAATGCATTCCTTCCCCAGGGTATGAATTATTAATATTCCTTGCTAGGAAAATAATTTAGCAATATCTTCCCTACTTGCATGTCCGTTTATAGGCTATCTGCAAGAAGAAAAATATGGCTCTATTTTGCCCGACCCTGCGGGCAGTCAGACCTTATGGTTGTCTTCCCTTGTTCCCTAAAATCGCTGTTATTCTGTTCTTTTTCAAGGTGCACTTATTTCATATTGTTCAAACATACATGTTTTACAATCAATTTGTACAGTTATCACAATTATCATAGTGGCCCTGATGTGATGTACATCCTTAGCTTATAAAAATAACAGGATTAAGAGATTAAAGTAAGACAGGGGTAAGAAATTATGAAAGTATTATTTGGGAACTGGTAAATGTCCATGAAATCTTCAGAATTTATGTTCCTTTGCTGCGGCTCCACCTGGTCCCTCCATTCAGGATCCCTGACTTCCTGCAACACATACTATCATTTATGATCCATGAATGTTTCATCATATTATTATATGAAAACAACCCTGGACAGAGATTCAAGAGACTTGAGTCCTTGCTTTGCCATTCTCACGGTGAATACACTTGGGAACAGTATCTAACTTTTATTTGAACTTCATTATTTCATCTGTAAATTAGGGGCTTATAACTGGGATTTCTTTTGGGTCCCTATCAACATTAAACTTTTCTGATTCCCCATGTCTATAATAGAAAGCAAGAAGATGGAATAAAATATTAGCATAATGAATAATACAGAATTTTCACAATTTATGTTCGTAACAATTACAAATAATCTTTACTTTGCATTAACGGAATTTCTTAAATTTCTCTGGTTCACAGTTTTCTGTTTCTTACAGTCAGCTTCTTGTAGATGTAGCCAAATGACACAGTTAGGTGATAGTTTAGCATTTTAATGATTTTTAAGTTGGCTAGTTTATGTAAATAACAAATGATTAGAACAAATAAATTAATTGCTTATGATGTATTTTCAGGTCAGAATTTGAGTTATAAAGGTCATAGAGATCATCTAATATAATTATCATCATTCTCAAGATGAGGAAAAGTTTTCTTAGAAACATTATTTGGCATTTGTTTCTACTTGGATAAAATATAGCATGCATATTAAAACTATTTTCCTTTGCTGTGCTATGCCCAAATGGAATAACATAACTTAGTGCTAAAGATGTTTTATGACTAGTTTACTCAAATTTTTATTATCTGTACCTCTTATTTGATACAGGTAAATTTAACAGATTGGGAAGACTAATATCATTTGGCTATTGATTACTTATAGAAAGTTATTCTCAAAGTCTTTTGGAACTTTTACTTCTTATATTAGAAATCATATTTTCTTATAAATACTGACTTTAATGCTAATGTAATGATAGTTGTAGGAATATTACAAATAACAGTTTAGTACTCATGAGAGAAGTAATTCGTCTGTCTTTCACTGATTAACAAAATTTAAGGGCAAAAAAATTAGAATGTTACATTCAAGACTACTTTAAGATAAATAAGCTTACCAATTATATAGCCATGAGGAAAAGTATGAATCAATGTATTTTGTGTTCTGTGTAAAACATCTATCCAATTTACAGATACCACTCGCTAATTGAAACTTAACATATCTTCATAGTGACACCCCTGGATGTTGTTAAAATTAGACTCCAAGCCCAAAACAACCCACTCCCCAAAGGTATGTGTACTAATTGCCCTAAAAATGTTATGTTTGATTTTTAAATGTTCCTGTGGTTTTTTTTTTTGCCTAACATTCATTTGCTAATTTATTAAAATTGATGCCTCTTTATCCTCATGAAAAACTTTTTTTTTCACCATTTAGTTGTACGTGATGAGGTGTAGGCAAAAAGCAAATAAATACATAATATTTATATGGACCTACTAATTAAAGCAAAGGATGGTTATGTATTTGTATTTGTGCCTCAGAGGTAAGAACAGAATTATATTTGTGAGGGACCTTAGAATCCAGCTTACTCCTGTGTCCAAAAGTTGTGCCCATGTTAGAGCATTCATGACCATCATACAACTATTGCTTGAATATAGTGATTGGAAATTTATTATTTTATCAGACAGCTTGGTTAATTTCTGGATAGTAGTTTATGTAGAATTTGAGACAAATAATGATGTATTTTTATAAGATAGGCAAAATTCGCAATTCCTTAGATTTTATAGGTTTATAAAGATAATGGCATTGCAACCATATTTTAAGTGGCAGAAAACACGTGTTTGGACTGTGAGAAAATTGGCTCAGATATAAAGCCACTGTGTTGAATTCAGAGTGGTGAGATGGAATGAACAGCCCTGGTATTTTAGATGAATGAAAGGATAGATTGATTGTAGGAAGATGCTGAAAAGGTAATTTCCTATACATTAAAGAAAGCCATAAAAGCAGAAGGAAACACTCAGACCTAAGTATTACAAAATTCACAGCTT
The DNA here is from genome assembly GCF_000001405.40 of Homo sapiens. NCBI lineage: Eukaryota > Metazoa > Chordata > Mammalia > Primates > Hominidae > Homo > Homo sapiens. The sequence continues at coordinate 87,855,536 of NC_000007.14, read as the reverse complement.
TGTATTTTTACATACTGTTGGGCAGAGAAGACAATTTTGGCAACAGTTAGTCCAGTAAGTGGGAAGAAGTTGGTATTAGAGAAAGTTGTACTACATTAGGTGGAATGTGACAAATGGCTAGACTGAGCAGTACAGTACAGATACAGAAAAAGAGACAAAGCATAGCATTATGTACATTGAGAATGACATTTAAAAAAAAATTCTAGTTTTGTCTGAATTTCCCTTGCATACCACAGATTTTTCTTCTGGTCAAATAGAGAAGATATGCGTCCATGTTCCCTTCTCTAAATGGGTTTTCGTCTTTTATCTTCCTTCTTCATTCCCTCAGATAACTTAAAAGAAGTTATTTTTGTGTCCTTTTTTTTTTTTTTTTTTGAGACTGGGTCTTACTCTGTCACCCAGGCTGGAGTGTAGTAGTGTGATCATAGCTCACTGCAGCCTTGACCTCCTGGGCTCAGGTGATCTTCCCACTTCAGCCTCCTGAGTAGCTGGGACTACAGGCACGTGCCATCACACCCAGCTGATTTTTAAAATTTTTTTGTAGAGATGGAGGCTCACTGTGTAGCCCAGGCTGAAATCAAACTGGCCTCAAGTGGTCCCCTGGCCTTGGCCTCCCAAAGTGCTGGGATTACAGGCATGAGCCACCATGCCCAGCCATTTTCTTATTGCAGTTCTGAAAACATAAATCCACTAATTTACAGTTACTTTTTTTTTTTTTTTTTTTTTTGAGACAGTCTTGCTCTGTTGCCCAGGCTGGAGTGCAGTGGCGCGATCTTGGCTCACTGCAAGCTCTGCCTCCCGGGTTCACGCCATTCTCCTGCCTCAGCCTCCCGAGTAGCTGGGACTACAGGCGCCCGCCACCACGCCCAGCTAATTTTTTGTATTTTTAGTAGAAACAGGGTTTCACTGTGTTAGCCAGGATGGTCTCGATCTCCTGACCTCATGATCCGCCTGCCTCGGCCTCCCAAAGTGCTGGGATTACACCGGCCTAATATACAGTTACTTTTAACAACTCTGAGTTTAGAATGCATTGCAGTAGCATTAAGCAAATCAAATTAATTTTGTCTGTTTCATCCTAAAAAGTAGAGATGTTTATTTATCTTTTTCAAGATTGTTTCTCTTTTCGTAATTTTCTAGTTTCCTCATTGTGATGTCAATTTGTTCATCTGTAAAAATAATAACAGTTATGTGAGGTAATTGTTGGTTGTTGGAATCTTCTTTGTTAGGAAAATGTTTTGTATATAGTAATGGACTCATGGATCATCTATGTGTCTGTGAAGAGGGAGGCAACAAACTATGGTATAAGAAGCCAGGAAATTTCCAGGGAACATTGGTAAGGTGATTATATTCCTTAGAATCACAGTATATTTTCTATTTAATCTTATATGTGAAATATTTTCTAATTGCAAGAGGGTTAAGAATCATATTAAACTGAGAACAGGGAACTACTTCTTTGCTTTTAACCCTTTGTTAACCTTTTCATAGGTTCATGGTTTTGTGTAAAAAAGGGGAGGTAACTTTTTAAAAAACTAAACATTTTTATTTTGAGATAATATAAAATGAAAAAAATATATACAGACAGATTTCATGTACCCTTTTCTTAGTTTCCCCCAGTGGTACCATCTTACAAAACTAATAGTGTCACCACTAGGATTTTGACATTGATTGATACAATTAAAATAATAATTTCATTATCACAAGGATTCTTTCTGTTTCCTTTTTTAGAGCCACACCCATTTCCGTTGTGTTCTCACCAACTCCTTAAGCCCTGGCAACTACTAATTTGTTCTTCATTTATATAATTTTGTCATTTCAAGAGTGTTGTATAAATGGAATCATGACATATATAACCTTTTGGGGTTGGCATTTTTTACATAGCATAATTACCTGGTGATTCATCCAGGTTGTTGCATGTGTCAATCATTTGTTCCTTTTTATTGCTCATGATATAGATTATTTCATGGTGTAGATATAATACAGTTTATTTTCAGAGTTTTTTCCAGATTTTGGCTATTATGAATAAAGCTGCTACAAACATTCACTTACTCTGGGAAAAATGCCTTAGGGAATACAGTTGCTGAGTCATATGGTAGTTACATGTTTATAGTTTAAGCAACTCCTAACCTGTTTTCTACACTGGTTCTACCATTTTACATTTTCATTAGCACTGTGTGACTGATCCAATTTCTCCACATCTTCACTAGTGTTTTGATGTTGTCACTACTTTTATTTTACCAGTTATGATATATGTGTAGAGATATCTCACTGTGGTTTTAATTTGCATTTCCCTAGTGGCTAATGATGTTGAACATCTTTTAATATGCTTATTTCCCTCTTCAGTAAAAAGGCTTTCATGTCTTTTGCCCATTTTCTAATTAAATTGTTTGTAGTTTTACTGTTGAATTTTGATAATTCTTTATATGTTCTAGATACTAGTATTTTGTTGAATGTGTGGTTTGCAAATATTTTTTTCCACTTCTAGTTTGTCTTTTCATCCTCTTAAACATGGTCTTTCACAGGGTAAAACTTTTTAATTTTTACAAAATTCAATTTATTAATATCTTTTATAGGTCATGCTTTTGGTATCAAGGCTAAGAGCTTTTTATCTACTGTTACACTCTGAAGACTTTTTCATAAAAATTTTATTTAAGTCCTTGATCCATTTTGAGTTAGTTTTATGTAGGGCATGAGACTGTGGTTGAGGTTTGTTTGTTGTTGCTGCCTATGGGTGTCCACTTGCATTTGTGGAAATGGCTGTAATTTCCTCCATTGAGTTGCTTTTTGCACCTTTGTTAAAAATCAGTGGGGCATATTGGGTCTGTCTATTTCTGAGTTTTCTATTCTGTTCCATTTATCTCTGTGTCTGTCACTCTGTCAATACCACAGTCCTAATTATTGCACCTGTAAGTCTTGAAATTAGGTACACTGATTCCTCTCACTTTATTTTTATATTTCTTTTTCTTTTTTTGAGACAAGGCCTCGCTCTGTCACCTAGGCTGGAGTGCAGTGGAGCAATCATGACTCACTGCTTCCTCAATCTGTACGCCTCAAGAGATTCTCCCACCTCCGTCTCCCAAATAGCTGGGACTATAGGCATGTGCCACTGTGATTTATTTTTTGTAGAGACAGGGTCTCACTATGTTGCCCAGGCTAGTCTCACACTCCTGGGCTCAAGCAGTCCTCCTGCCGTGGCCTCCCAAAGTGCTGAGATACCGGCGTGAGACACAGCATCTGGTCCTTATTTATTTATTTTTTTTTCAAAGTTGTTTTCGCTATTCCCAAAGTTCCTTTGTCTTTCCACATAAATCTTAGCATAATCCTGTTTATATTTACAAAAAAATATTGCCAGGGTATTTATTGGAATGGCATTCAACTTGTATGTTAATTTGGAGGGTAATAACATCTTTAATGTGTTGAGTCTTTCAATCCATTTTCAACCTGCTTATGACATTATAATTGAAGTGAATTTCTTTTAGACAGCATAAAATTGAGTCATGTTTTAATTTCACTCTGTCAGTTTTTACCTTTTAATTAGTATACTTAGTTTAACTATTATAATGCAATTAGAGAGTAGGACTTAAGCCTATCTTTTTAAAAAAATTTTCTCTTTGTTGTGTTTTCTATTTCTGTTTTGCCTTTCCTGCCTTCCTTTGTAAGTTACTGGAACATTTTTTAGCATTCCATTAAACTCTTTAATCTCACTTAAAACATTCTATTTTAGCTGTCTTTTTCTGTCATTGCTTCCATGGGGAAGAAAGGATGTCATCTTGTTACTGCCGGGTAGCGTTAGAAGTCCAGGTTCCCCACCCAGCCTCTATTGACACACAGTGTGAGGGAAGACCTCTTTTGCTCTTGAGCATGTGTGGGAATTCTGGCTTTCTATATGGTTTCCACTGACGGTGTAGTGGGGTAGTCTCATTGCTGGGTGATCGTGAAAGTAGTGACTCTCCACTATTCCTCCTGTGACACCACCCTAGCAGAGGGACAAAGGAGCCTTATTGCTGACCTGGTAGGGGTAAAAATCTTGGTTCCTTATTGACCTTCTGTCAGCCTTACATTGGTGGAAGTCTAGGCTACCTACTTGGCCTTTGCTGATATGGGTCTGGGTGGTGCCACAAGTTTCACTTTGGTGTTTGGCTAGAGCAGAGTGGTTATTGTCTAAAAGTTTTCTGTCTTACTAGGGTTCCCGTAGCTGGGAAAATATGCAGTCCTTTGTGACTAATGTCTTTTACTTAGCATAGTGTTTTAAGAGTCATCCATGTTGTAGTATGTATCAGTATTTTATTTCTTTTATTGCCAAGTAATATTATGTGAATATATTACATTTAATTTATTCATTCATCATTTGATAGACATTTGGGTTGTTTCTACTTTTTGGAATAATTAATTCTATGGACATTCATGTTTCTGTGTGAACATGTGTTTTAATTTCTCTTGGATATAACCTTATGTGAATATGTGTTTTAATTTCCCTCAGAATGTAACTGGAGTTGAAATTACTGAGTCATGTGATAACTATGTTTAACCTTCTGAGAAACTGCTAGGCTATTTTCTAAAGTAGCTACACCATTCTGTATTCTCACCAGTAGTATCTAAGGGTTCCAATTTCTTCACATTTTCACCAGAATTTATTATTGTCTGTCTCTATAATTTTAGCTTATTTAGTAGGTATGAAGTCACATCTCATTTGTAGTTTTGCTTTGCATTTTCATAATAATCAATGATGAACATTTTTCCTTTTTCTATTTTTCTTTTCTTTTTTTTTTTTGAGACAGGGTCTCACTCTGTTGCCCAGGCCTGGAGTGCAGTGGTGTGATCTCAGCTCAGTGCAGCCTCTCCCTGCTGGGCTGAAGCAGTCCTCCCACCTCAGACTCCCAAGTAGCTGGGACCACAGGAGTGCGTCACCATGCCCAGCAAATTTTTTAGCTTTTTGTAGAGATAAGTTCTAACTATATTGCCCAGGCTGATGTCGAACTCCTGGGCTCAAGGGGTCTCCTGCCTTCCAAAGTGCTGGGATTACAGGCCTGAGCCACTGCATGCAGCCAAACAGTTTTTCGTGTGCTTATTGGCCATTTGTATGTATTCTTTGGAGAAATATATATTCAAATCCTTAGCCAATTTTTAATTACTTTATCTTTTTGTTATCAAATTGTAAGAGTCTGTCTGTTAATAGAAGACTTCTCTTCAGCTCTGCCTACTTTTGGTTCCTCTCCAAAGATTTCACATAGCACATTTTAATATTTTCTCTAATTTCATACTTAAGCAAGTTTAACCAGTTCTCTGCTTTTGCTCTACTTCCTTTCTTATAATAATCTTTTCTAAAGCTTTTTTTCTAAGCTCTTAGTAGAACAATCTAGAGCTGAGTAATATAGACTTCATTCTGTAAGAAGTTAGTATCATCCAGAAATGCTTCATTTTAATTGTGTTAAAATTCCCTTTTTAAAAAGAATGGACATACATAAATCCAAAAAGCTTATTTTTTTAGATATAAATACCTGAAAGAATGAAATTACCAATCATCAGTATAAATTTTTGTATAAAAGGTTTAAAGATATATTTTGATTACTTTTTTTCTATTATAACTTTAGGATGCATTTTTTAAAATCATTCGAAATGAGGGCATTAAATCTCTATGGAGTGGCCTTCCTCCTACCCTGTAAGTTGAAATTTAATGTTTTTTCTACTAAATAATGATTGTTATTTTATCCTATAATCAGCATGGTTGGACAAAGTCTTGCATTTTTAATATTAGAATGCTTTCATTTTCTGAGGTATTGTTTTTTAAGCCTCACAGCCACCCACATGTTTGATGATGTACTAGAAGGACTTGCAGGACCTGAAGAGGTTACATTCACAGATACGGTTTATTACAGCAAAAGGATAGAAAACAGAATCGGTAAGGGAAAAAGGCACATCAGGAGTTGTCCAGAAATAGGCTTCCAAAGTCCTCCCTTATGGCATTGCACAGGATGTGCTTATCCTTCTATCAGTGAGCTGTGAAGTATACAAAGTGCTTCTGCCTTGGGAAACCCATTTGAGTTTTGAGTGTAGGGCTTTTATTGAGCATGGGTTATATGGATACATTCTGTCTTTTAGGCCAGTTGTGATGAGCAAAACTTCAAACCCACAGAAGGAAAGAAGTGTACTATAAATCGCAGTGTACAGATCAACCTGGACAAGTTGGTTTAGTGCTTCAGACATACAAAAAACCTTCTAATGGGGAATACTCCTGGGGATATATTCTCACGAGTTGTCCAGAGGTCAGGCATGCACATAGGCCCTCCTGAAGTTATATAAGGTTTGAGCAACCAAGCCTGCTGTGTTGTCTTTGCTACACAAGCATATGGTAATTTTTTTCATGTTCAGAAATAAAGACTTTGGTGTTTATTTGTTCATTTTACTAAAGCTGTATGATATATTGCAAAATGTATACTTTCCTTTCTCCAGGTAATTCTAATTGTCTACTGCCTGGCGATTACATGAATTAATATGATAAACTGTTAATATTGAATGTAAAAATGTAAAATAATAACTTGGCTTTTGCTGTCTCATTTATTCCCAAGAACTTTATACTTTTAATGGAGGAAATTAGTCAATTTGAGGCATTTATTTTAAACAATGTTTAAGGTTTAAAGTTAGTGGCAGATCCGATACCCCACCAGTCAGTCCTGCTCCTAAATTCTCAGCAGCAAAGTCCACCATATAACATTAGGCATTCCAATTTATAGTCTGTGAATGTCCTTTAGTTACATCATAAACATGGACTAGTTTCTTGTTGCACTAATATTTATTGACATGGCAGTACCTGCAACTTTGTGTTTGAATTTAATAATTCCCTTTTAATAATTTCTTTTAAAATAGTATGTCATTAGAATTCCCTTAAAATTAGTGTATGTAATTCTGATGATGTTAATTATAATTTATGTCTAGTTATAAGCAGGAGTGATATATGGTCCACAGTACAAAAATGTTTTACAATTTCTCACGTACTTTTTATTTCGCTGATTCTGATGTTATGGTAATTATGAATGAGAAAGAAGATCTGGGAGACCAGAAACAGAGATGGAGATGAAGTGTCTGTCTTAATTTGTCTTTTCCTATTTGTTTTATTTTTATTTTATTTATTTATTTATTTAGAGACAGTCTTGCTCTGTCCCTAAATAGGCTGGAGTGCAGTGGCACGATCTCGGCTCATTGCAACCTCTGCCTGCCAGGTTCAAGTGATTCTTGTTCCTCAGCTACCTGAGTAGCTGGGATTACAGGCATGTGCCACCATGCTAGCGCTTACTTAATGCTATTTATTGTAACTGTCTTTACAACTGGAATGAAAACTTTTGGATGGCAAATGCCTACTTTATATCTTTTTACTGCCTACTAAGTTAAGTACTAATCATTTTTAAACTAAAAGAAAAATTGATCTCATAGGCTGATTTATTGTAGTTTTTAGCTTACACAAAATATAAGACTTTTTTAGCTTATATAATAATATTTGAATTTAAGTTAAGACTATGTGGGATCTTTTGATAATTTTGAACAAATCTTTTTGTGTGATCTAACAGAGTGATGGCAGTTCCTGCCACAGTTATTTATTTTACCTGCTATGATCAATTAAGTGCTCTTCTGAGATCTAAGTTAGGAGAAAATGAAACCTGCATACCAATTGTTGCTGGAATTGTAGCCAGATGTGAGTAATAAATCTTTATTTTCATTTTGATTTCTGTTTAGAGCTTCTGTTTAAGTTGTGACATTCACAGATAATTTGTATAATATATAGAGTATTAGTATGATATATTTTGCATTATAGTTTATATTAATTTGTTAATATAGTATAGGTACTCCAGAAGTCATATGGAATGGTGATTACCATCAGAATGAGATGGGCTCAGCCTATTTTGGTCAAATCATGGACAGAGTTTTTAGAGTGACATCAGAGTTGGTTCTGATTTACCTGAACTTCTGAGGTGTCATCTGGGATCATGCGTGATTCAGGCCAAAGTCCTGAATCACTTTCCTTATAAACTTTGGGATTCAGAGTTTTATCATAAGGAACGTTGACTCTATACAGAAGAACGTTTACTCTGCTAAATGGGAGTGGGATTTATTGGGGCAGTAACTGGAATGGGCTTTGGTTTTCATAGTTCTGGTTGATTATAACATTTCTGGAACTGCCCTTGAGAGAGTTGAAACCAGAAAAAGTAAAGTATATGAAAATAGATTTTTAAGAAATACTTTGTCAAGGGAAAAATCTGTGGCAATTATGTTGACATCATGACACATTTAATTTTAAGGTTTTCAGACATTATAGACTAAAAGTTTAAAATATAAAATCTGTGAATATTAATTTTTACAGTATATGTGTTTGCATAGTACATGGCTTTATTTTTGTTTTCTTTTTTTTAACTTGTTTGTATTAGTTGGTGCAGTAACTGTGATAAGTCCACTAGAATTGATTAGAACCAAGATGCAGTCCAAGAAGTTTTCTTACGTGGAACTGCATCGATTTGTCAGCAAGAAAGTATCTGAAGATGGTTGGATTTCCCTTTGGAGGGGCTGGGCTCCTACTGTTCTTAGAGATGTACCTTTCTCAGGTAGGATTTATCTTATTTGTAGCTACTAAATTTTACATGGCTTTGTCTCATTCAAATATTACTGTCACTAGATTTTTAACTCTTTACCATTAAAGGTAAGTTATTTTCTATAGTGACCACAAACTCCTTTTTCATTGTTGGGCTCTCAGATCTTTCCAAGCTTTTATTGAATGAATAGTTTTTATTCAAGCTTGTTTTTTTTTCCTTGTGATTAATTTGCTTTTCTACATTAATTAGTGGGTATTCATATTCAGAGAATGCAAACTACCTTTAACATTCTAAATAAGTCATTTAATATTATTCTAAGCAATTAGTAAGATAAGTAAAACTACTGCAAATCAAAGGATAGAATCCATTTAAGACCACTTTGGAATTATATGGGCTCCTACTTTTTCAGTTATTAAAAATAAACATCTCCCCATTAAATGATTATCCTGTAAAAGACTATTACAAATCAAGTAGGGAATTGTACTGATTACTCAGTTATGAAAAGGGAGAAAATTATGAAAAGTGAGAAGTGTAAATCTACCAGTAACTTACAGAATGTGCCTACTTTAGTGGCATTTCCCTTGTGGATCATAGAAGTTTTTAAGACCCAAAAGAAATACTTATCTAGAGAGAAACTCTCAATAAGAATATAAATATCTTTTAAAAATCATGAAACCACAAATACGTTCTTTCACTGTCACAACCCCAGTGGTAACCACTATATTGAATGCCATTCATTTGATTAAAAGAATTAATTTTCCCACATATGTATTATTGCCAAACATTATATTGTTTAGTTTAACCTATTTTTGAAAATCCCCTTTTACTAAAAAATTTTCCTAAGAGTCATTCTTGTGTTATATGTAACTGTTTTCTTCATTTTTACTTGTTTATATGTGAGTAAACAAGTAAGACAGTGCTGCTATGAAAATTTTTAATCAGTTTCTTGGTGTACCTTTGAAAGTTTATCCAGTATTGGATTTGTTGATTCATAGATATACATACATTTCAAATTTTACTAGGTAATATAGAACTCTTTTCCAAAGTGATTGTATGATCTACATACCTACCAGCAATGTAAGAGATTTTCTGCTGCTTCACACCCTTTCCAACTTTTTTATTGTCAAAGGTCTTAATTTTTGTTTAATAATTTAAAGTGGTATCTCATTTTAATTTGCATTTCCCTGGTTATTAATAAGATTGGGCACTGTTTCATTGGCATTCATTTATTCATAATTGATTTGGGGTTTTGGACTGAAATAGGTTTTCAATTTCATTTTTCTCCCACATGGATAGCTGGTTGTCCCAACATCACCTATTGCAGTGATCTCCAACCTTTTGGGCACCAGGGACTGGTTTTGTGGAAGACAATTTTTCCATGATTGGAAAAATTGTGCCTGTGTGTGTGTGTGCATGAGCGCGTGTGTGATTGGTTTCAGAACGAAACTATTCCACCTCAGATCACCAGGCATTAAATTTTCATAAGGACCACGCAACCCAGATCCCTCACATGCGCAGTTAACAATAGAGTTCTATGAGAATATATTGCTACTGCTGATCTGACAGGAGGTGGAGCTCAGGCGGTAATGCTCACTCACCCGCCGCTCACCTCCTGCTGTGTAGCCCAGTTCCTAATGGGACACAGACCAGTACCAATCCTCAGCCCTGGGGTCGTGGACCCCTGATCTATTGAATAACCATAATTGCTTCAGGGATCTGCAGTGTCGTCTCTGTCATATAACATTTTCATGTATGCATGGATCTGTTTCGCTGGTTAATGTTTCTGACTTCAGGCCAGTACCAAACTGAATTATTAGTGCTCTATGAAAAATCTTTTGTTTTTTGGTCAGGGTCTCACTCTGTTGCCCAGGCTGGAGTGCAGTGGCACAGTCACGGCTTACTGTAGCCTTGATCTATCTACAGGGCTCTAGTAATCCTCCCACATCAACCTCCTGAGTAGCTGGGACCAAAGCCGTGTGCCACCATGCTTGGCTAAGAAAAATCTTGATGTCACCTTATTTTTCTTCCCTAGGAATGTCATCTCTTTATGTTAATAATAAATCTTTAAGAAGTTGTTTTAGGAGAGATTCAAGTTTTTCTTCATCAAGGTTGTATTCATCTCTTTTTTTTTGACATTTAGTTATAGGTATACCCCCACTGCCCCCCAGCTTTTAGTAGCTATTTTTAAAGCTCTATTTTAATTTTTTAAAATTAAATCTTTGTAGCTTGTGCAGTTGCAATTGATTTTTTTCTATTAGCTTGTATCCAGCTATGTTTTAACATTCTGTTATAAATTCTGCTTTGTCTTACTATTTTTTTGGTTTGGATATATATAAAAATATATGTAAATTGAACTGTTTTATATCATCATTTGTAATCATAACTTTTCTTTCTTACTTGCTGCCCAGTGAATTTTTGAATTATAGTGACAATAATGAACATCCCCATCATTTTTCCCATTTTAAAGAAAATAGATCTCATTTAACCATTAATAATTATTTTTTGGTATAGGTTTTTGATGCATGTTCTTTATCAAATTAAAGAAGTTTCCTTTTACTTCTAGGTTTCCAAGAAATTTGTTTCTTTTAAATGAAGGAGTGTTGCGTTTTATCAGATGCTTTTTCATTATCATTACATGATCCCATGGTTTTGTTAACATGGTAATATGACATTTAAAGATTTGTATTATATACCTTTGCATTTCTGGGGTAACCCAACTTAATCATAGTACATGATGTTTTATGAAATATTTCTGACTTCAGTTTGTTTTTTATTATTATTTTTAGGAAGTCTGTACCTATGATCATCAATAGATTGGCCTTTACTTTTTTCCTTTGTCCCGTTGTCCTTGTCAGGTTTTGGAATTATAGTCCTACTTTATTGATGCATAGTTTTTTTTGTTTATAGGACTACTAGAATATTACTGAGAATTTTGCATTAAAAAAAGAAATCCCACCCTAGTGGGTGTCTAAGTAGAAAGCAAGGTATGTCAAGGTTAGAATTTGTCTATCCCCTGAATATATAACCTCATAACTCTTTTATTAAAGTCCACATTTTATTTCTAAATATGTGTTCATTTCATTCTCTGTTTTTATAGCAATGTACTGGTATAACTATGAAATTTTAAAGAAGTGGTTATGTGAGAAATCTGGTTTATATGAGCCAACATTTATGATCAACTTTACTTCAGGGGCATTGTCTGGTTCTGTAAGTTTATTCTTTTGTTGTTAATATTCCAGAAGAATAATTGTTGTATTAAAACAAAACAAAATATAGCATCTCATGTATATTGAGATCCACTTTGGCTGCACTGCTTGAAAATTTGTCTAAGTATTTTCCATCTATTTTAAGGAAACAAATTATTAGCAAATAAAATAATTTAAATATACTGTATTTGTTTTTATGTTACAAAAACATATTTTTCTGAGAAACTTTTGGATTTGTTAGATCATTACAGTTATAATATTTTAGAGCTTTATTATTTAGAGCATTTTGTAATACATTAATTCAATAAATGCTCTGATTAGGTAATATTTCATGCAATGTCATCTCATATGCATTAAGCACTTCTAGCCTCTGCTGCTGATTTCTGTTTCTTTGGAAACATTTTGTCCTACTAAAGTACTTTTTAAAATAATTTGAACAAAAATTACAGTCGGAAGGAAATAATCTTGTTACCATTTTTGGGTAATAGGGAGTTTATCTTTTTCCACACCTTCCTGTAGAATGATATCAAAGTCCTGTAGTAGACTTTCATTATGCAGATTTATATCACCATGACATTGGCAGTTTTTTTTATACCCACATACTTCCAAAAATGAATCTGTAATAACTTGTAGTGAGACAATAACACACTGGAACCACATAAAAACAATAGCGAAGGAGCAGAGTGAAGTGATGCAGACTTGCAGAAAAATATTGTAATAATATCTCAGAAAATCTAGGCCAAGGAAGCCACAGCAGTTGACTTTAAAACTTAGATATAAATATTCCCAGGTCTAAGATCTTTCAAATTAATCCTAGTGGATTATAAGTCTATTGAACAAAAAAACCAATTAGTATTGTTGAATAATGGCTTTAGGATATTTACCAGTTTTGCAGAAATATGAAGGAAAGTCCTCTATTGTACTATTTCTATTTAACCTAGAAAATTTATTTTTTTAAATGATTTTTTAAATGATCTAGAAAATTGCTGCATTTTGACAGCTTTCAAATAAAGGTTTGTGTCTGCAACAGAAAAAACACCTGAATGTAAGTGTCCAGGCTTTCTGTCAGAAAACAGAACAGCCTAAACCACCTCATTTTAGAAAGAGTTTCAAAAATGGCTTACATAACATTGTAGCTACTACATGATAGATAATGAAGATGGAGAAACAGTCCTTGATTTTACCTTACCTGAAATCTTTGAAGCTGATTTCAAGAACGTACATCAACAAATTGTTGGGGTGAAATAAAATATAAGTGATTTTGAGGGACATTTTATGACCATATTGGCCAAATGTGAGTTGGGAAGCAAAAATGCATACCAGTTTTAACCTTGCATGGCTGTTGTATCAAATATTGCAACAACATATCTAAAAGAATTAAATTATTTTAAAAAAACTCCCTTAATTAAGGCATTGTGGAAAAAATGTAAATTATTTTGAGAAAAGTTATTTAAAATGTGATTTGCATCCAGCTTTTATCATTAATAGGAAAAAATGTGATTTGTGAACCATTGTAAGTATATTTTAATATGTAAACATTTACATAACTATTTTAAAAGGCTTATAGAGTTAAAAGTTCAAAATTCATTTTCTTTATTCAAATTTAATTTTTTATTCTATTTTAAAAGCGTTTGCTGGAAATTTTTAAATGCTCACTAGATACTTGAGAATTTCTGCTTTGACATATGTGTTGTATCTTCTTGTGATGTAAAGGAATAATAGAACACAAAGGAGCGTGAGAAATTGTGAATGCTGGTAGTGGAGTCAGAGAGGCTTGGTTGGAATTGTGGCTCTGCAACTAGTAGCTGTGTGACCTCAGGAAAGTAAGGGAATTTTTCTGAGGCTTTTTACTTTTGAGTATAGTGAGAAATACATATCTATTTGCTTTAATGAAAACTTAAAAATATATATATTATTTCATTTTAAAGTTCGGTTATTGTTTTCATTATCCTTAAATAATATACTAATAAGAAGAATGTAAAAATATTTTAGGAAAAATTAACAGGTTGATTGAAATTAATCAATTTTACTTTCTGATAGTTTGCTGCTGTTGCAACTTTACCATTTGATGTAGTAAAAACACAAAAGCAGACACAACTTTGGACATATGAAAGTCATAAAAGTAAGTTTAATTAATTTAAAATATTTTTAAGATGCCATTTTTGTTTTTCCTTACAGATATTGTAGGGATATCTAAAATAAGGAAAACAAGATTTTTTCTTCTGCATTATTCTTTGTGTATTTTACTGAAAGTAATATACTGTTAGAATGGAATACCCAGAAAAACTAAACAAAAACAAAAAATTTAAGAAAATGTAAAGTCTAATGTTTCTTGAATGCCATCAGTTAAGTCTGATACCTGCGATAAAGAAGAAATAATCTTTGTCATTTAAAAGCTAAGTTGTTTTATGATGTTTTTTCCTAAAGTTTGTTTTCAGATCTATTTCAAATTATTATTTTTATTGTCCTTTTAAGTCTTCTTTCAAGTAAACCAATAAAATAAATTTAGACAAATCAGGATAAAGGATAGGAAATTACTGGAAACCTTTTTTCTCTTATTTTTTGATTATATATATGTATATATATATATATATACACACACACACACACACACACACACATTTTGTTTTTAAGCTTTCTTGTAATTTTTTCTACCCATTATCCCATCTATTTTTATTTCTTCATAACCTGTAATTTCTTCTAGAACAAACGTATACTCCTATTTGCTTCTACTAGGATCCCTCTGTCATCATTTATTCCCTTTAGAAAGTGTAGCAAACCAATGGGAAATTATCTATTACAAAATTATGTAAGTCTTGTGATAAGACTATTATAATGTAAATAAAAATTCTTCTACCCATGATTATAATAGTTTGCATAAAAAGTAAAATAGGTATAATGTTAAAAGAAGCTGGTTACAAACCTCTACAAATGAATCTGATGGATGTTGGTGACATCCTTGTCTTTGACCTATCAAATACCTATTCTCCTCTTATATTAGAAGCTAATGAAAACCTGGGAGGTAATCAAAATTTTATTATATTAGGGTTCTCCCACTTCCCTGTTTTAGGCATGAGCCTTCTAGAAACCTAAGCCCTATCTGTCCTTTGACAGTTCAAAATTATTTTGTTTCGTTCTTCTTTTCTTCTCATCAGAATTTCTATTTCCCCTCTTAAGTATAATATTTAACATAGTAGGATTTCACCAATTTCTTTTTGGTGTAATTTAGCATAAATGATTAATGACTGTGGCATTGAGGTAGTGGTGGTCATGGTGGTTGATAAGGGAAAAGATGGGAATCTGTACAGGTAGATTCTAATGCACACTAAAGTTTGGGAGCCACTTACGTTGGTAACTAATCATTGGAGTCACCTGAGGTGCTTATTCAATATACCTACAGCTGGACATCACCCTCAGTAAACTCTCATTTAATGAATCTGAGGTGGAACTCTAGCTTGTATATTTTGAAGATGATCCCTAAGTGATGGTGATATATATCTTCATTGAGACTGGCACCAGGGAGCCATCTTTCTTTATTAGATTTAACTCTTACCTATCACTGGTTTTTTCTAATTAATGTTTCCTCATTTAAACCTAAAAGGAAAAATCTTAAATAAGAATTGGGTTTTAATTTTCCATGATTATCATTGGTAAATTTTAATCTGTTAGCCTACTTCAGCTATGAACCAGTTACTTAAAGGTTTACTAAGATATATTTCAGTTGAAATTGCACTTGTAATTTGAGTGATAATCAGCCCATACTTACTATTTTGGTTTACATTATTTATCCAAGAAGTAACTCAGCTCCATTTAGAAGTGACTTCCTTTGTTCCACAGCTCAGCTATACCAAATCCCTTCTCTCTAAGCAAAAAAGAAAATATGAAGTGTTGCATCTGTCATACTATAGAATGATAGTTCCATGCAAGTATATGATCTGTCAGCCTACTTCGACCACTTCTTCTGTTCTTCATTCATTAGTCAATTACTGAGTACCTATACTGTGTCAGGCACCATGCTGGTATATACAGATAAATGAGACAATTACCCAAATCCTCAAAGAGCTCATAATCTACTGGAAGAGAGGCTGCATTCAGAAGCACGTTAGCATGTAGTAAATGCCATATCCTATAACAGAAATAACTTTTACCTAATTTATGAGTGTGTCATATATTATTAATTTTTAAACATTTAATCTCTGGTTTTAGCTTTTTAAACCTGGCCCAAATTTACTTGTTTTCCAGAGGTTAAACTTCTTTTTCTCTGAACACATTTAATATTTTTGAAACACTATTCTTAACTGGACAATTGAACTATAGAAAAAAAAAAACACTACTCAAGCAATATTTAATTTTTAAACATTTTAAAATTTAAGTATTTAATAGATTTAATAAATAGTACGTTGGTTTTAATATTTAAGGCAATATTTTTCCGTATTTCAATATTTCTATATTATATTTCTATTTTAAAATAGAAATAAAAGTATCACAAAATGGTTATACTTGCCAAACAAACTTATTAAAAATGTTCAATTTTAGTAATACCAAGGAACAGCAGTGAGAGAACATTTTATATAAATTACACTGTTGGGGAGGATGTAGCTCACTGGGAACCTTATGCCATGATGGTAAGAGTATTATTTTGGAACAGCTACTTTGGAAAACAATCTGGCAGTAGCAAGGAGTCCATTCTGAGTTATCAGTTCTACTCCTAGATATGTGCCCTAGGGAAACTTTTGCACATGTACCAGGCTATCCATGGCAAGATTGTTAAAAACAGCAAAAAGTTAGAAATCACCTAAATGTCCCTTTACAGGAAAATGGATAAATCATTATAATCCATATAATGCAATACCATGCAGCAATTAAAATGAATAAAATATAGCTACACTTACCAACCTAGATAATTCTGAAAGCACATTGCAGAAGTAAGTGTGCAGTGTGATATCATTTATATAAAGTTTAAAAGGAGGACAAAGAAGAGTATACATTGTTCTGTACATTCCAGATGTATACAAAGAAGAGTGAGTATACATCTGGATATGTTTAGAGGTAAACATTAAACAAATGCATGAGAAAGATGAAAAAAGAAAGATGAGAATGATTACCTTTGAGAAGGAGGAAAAATAAAATTGGGGAGGAATATATAGAGGGCTTTAACTGGATCTGAAAAATAGAGGTATTATGATATAATAAATTTGGATATTCAGTAAATGAGCATTTATTTTCTCTGTGCTTGAAGTATTTAATAATAAAAGTGTTTCTTTACAATGTAAGAATTTGCTTATTACCTGTAGGAGTAGCTCTTTAATGTTGAAAAGTTAGGCAGGAGACACTTCTGAGGTTCCACTAGAACTTGGCTTACCTTCAGTTGATACTCTTTTTATCATTCTCTTAATTTCACCTTCCTGTTAAAATAGAAACTAGTTTGGGGCATGAGTTCTACAAGATTAGAAACACCTGCTGCTTGATCACCATTCTTTGACCTGTTTTTAAAATTTAAATGAAATAATTTAAACATGAAGTAAAAATTGCCAACTTAGTTCTTGTCATTGACTTTCCTTAGAAAGTTAAATTTCATTCATATTTTGTAATCAGTGTTGAGCTGCTGTAGTTAGTATGTTTATGCTTATGCTATTGCTAGTACAGCTTCTTAAATCATAAGGCTTCATTTATCTTAGTCTTCATTTATTCATAGTCAGAGATTCTGATATTTTATATAAATGAAATTTGGAGATAATCACACTCCATTAAGTGGCAAAATTCTAGAAAGTCATTTTTGAAAGATACCATTTTATCTTTAACTTTTCTCTCCCAGGCTTCTTTAGTGGTACATACTTTAATCTTGTTTAATGATTCAGGGTTGTCTTCTATGTAAACATTGATTTTTGTAGAGTAGCCACTCTAAAAAGCTAGAGAGGGCAGTATAGGATTGTTTGCCCTTCATTCAGCTGGTCTCAAAACAAGACATTGAAATCTTCATCCTGTTAGCTGTCATGTTGTTTACATGGTAGTGTGCCTGGTTCTTAGAATTCTTTTTTTTAATCTTATTGCATCTAGTAGTCTGTGGGCCAAGGCAGCTTTTTAGAATAGTGTGTAAACGAAAATAAACAAATTTTGTTTATAAACATTATATTCATAAGCTTTATGTTTATACTTCAGTGACATCTACTTTTGCTGAGTTTTTAAAAAATTAGGTTTTTATTCATTTTCTTCCAGATATTTGAGTGGTTGCAAATAAGCGAGATGTTATTATTAGCTAAAATAAACCCTTTGAAGGAGACAGCACTGGTCTAATTTATTTCAAGAATAGCGTATCCATTCAGAAAGGTAGTAATAACTCAGGACACTGCTAGGGAGAATGAGCTGTTTTCCTCAGAAACTCCTTTTAGAAAAAAAAAGTTTTAAAACTATTTACAATAAAATGTGAATGAAAAAATGGTTGTGAGGACTTTTCTTTGGCATTGGATACCCCATGAAGGTTTCTATACACTTTTTAAGAGATAGGGGTCTCACTTAAGAGTTCAAGACCAGGCTGGTCTTGAACTCTTAAGCTCAAGAGATCGATCTTCCCACCTCAGCCTCCCAAGTAGCTGTCTTTTAAAAATTTCATTATGAAAAATTTTTAAGACCTAGAAAAAGTTTAAAAAATAACTACCATCAAGTTTAAGAAACAAGCATTATCAAGTCAGGAGAAACCTTCAGTACATTCCTCCTTAATTGCATCCAGTCCTATACATCTTTAAACATACAGCCTTTTTCTGTTTATTATTTTTAATGAATCTAACTATTAAAAATAAAACTTAAAGTAGCTTTTTAGGTAAACAAACCTCTTCTTATGGTAAAGAAATGATATATCCGCAAGGGCCATGGACACTATGTTATCTGTAGTAGGAATTATTAAATTGTTATTTATAATAGCATTATTTCTTTATTTTAACATTTAGTTTCTATGCCTTTGCATATGTCAACCTGGATTATAATGAAGAACATTGTTGCTAAAAATGGATTTTCCGGATTATTTTCAGGTAAAAATACTTGCTTTACCGAATCATTGAATAGAATGATTACTTTTAAAATATTACCTTCTAAAATTAACTTATAGGAGGAAGTTATAGGTAACATACTACATTTATTTTCTCCTAAATATCTTTATTATAAGTTAAAATAAATGTTAAATAAAAGATTTACTATCAATAAGATAAAAATTTCTCTATAATGTAATATGGATTGAAGTGAGGATGTTGGAAGTGAGCAGTCTTTTCTACCAATTTATGGATTTGAACATATTACTTCATTTAATTTGATAATTATCAGAATAAAGCCAAAAAATAATATTTTTAAAAATAAGGTAAGAAAAAAATATTTGTTTTGATTATTCCTATTCTTTTCTCAGGCCTAATTCCTCGCTTAATTAAAATTGCTCCTGCTTGTGCCATTATGATCAGTACATATGAATTTGGAAAGGCTTTTTTCCAGAAACAAAATGTTCGAAGGCAGCAATACTAGTGATGCTGTTTCAACTTGAAACAACAACTATAGCCAAAGAAGATGGAGACTCTTAGGCAAGAATGTTTTTCACCATTATTCTCTCACAATGATTTTATGTCTTTCTTTCCTATAATTTAAATAAATAATTTCAGCTCTACCTCTAAATCATAATTTTAAAATAAATTTTATCTTATTTTTGGTGATATTGAAAAAGATATTCTAGAAATCACCACCATTGAGCATTCTTGTAAAAATAGATTACTCCTTAGCATCAAAAGCAGTCTCTTGAAAGTTTAATATTATATGTTTCAGTGTAACATAATCTTACTGGGAGTGTGTTGAATACACCAGAACTTTTTGAATTGTGTGCTGAATGATGTACATAGTCTAGAAGAAAAAAGCCCAAGTCTTGTGCACATTTAAATCGTGTACATAAGTATTTCCGTATTTCAGTAAAGTAGATAAAGCACTCGTTAAATAGCATTGTTTACATCGACCAAATATTGCCTGTTTCCTTTAATTCAAATGCATTAGGTTCCCGCCTCCCTCTCCTTCCCCGCCATGTTGCTGTTTTAAGGCTTCATATGTATTAACATTTCTCTGATCAAAATTGTGGCTGTTTTCCTTATGAACCATAATATAATCATTTGTGTGATGTACATTGTGCCATTTTTGATGACTAAATGTCTATATTTCTGCCATTCCTGTAAGAGAGGGAGTTTTTTACTGATAGTAGCAAATGTTCACTTCAGTCAAACTTGGGTGTTCAGTGGTAAACCATATAGTATTTAGACTGGTAAAAATAGTTTGCACACAGGAATAGCCTCTGATTTTTAGCTCTCTTGTAATCCAAGTATCATTGTTCATGGAATTCTCTAGGTCATTTTTATTGTGTTGTTCTAACAAGACAGATTATTGCTACAACAATAGTTACAAGATATTTCTAAAATATCCTTTGATTTTTACTCTAAGTATGGTAGAGTAAGAGGCTAAACAAGAAGCTGTTTCCTTGAAGACATTGCTTTCAGTCACCATACATGTCTAAATAATTTAGCTTATCATTCATTCTATGTAGGAATGAGATAAGAAAGGATATGATGGCAGGAAAAGAAATGCTATTCATTTTTTATACTTTAGTTTTATTTTCTTAGGATCTATATCCTATATATATATATTTTTTAAAGCACTAATTTATTGCAGTCTTTATTTTAGAAAAATGTGAAGCATTTTTTTCTCCCCTAAAATGAATATATTTAGATGACAAGTCTTTAGTGCTGGTAGAGGAACTAATTGATTTTGTACTATAGTAGGAAAGTGTTTATATGTTTCACCAGAAATAAAATATGTAGGGTTTGTATGTAATCTTCTGTGTTTATCCTATGTTGATTTACCTTAAATTTGCAACATACATATCCACATAAATATTCATGACTTTCTTATATTTCATTAAAATGTTTTATGGCTTCTTAAAATCATCACTGTGCTTCTAAATATTTTTACGTAAAATCATTGTATAATGCTATACTGTGATATACATGAAAGTTTATCTTGAACAGTGCTCTTTAACAATATTAAATTTAAATTTATCTTGGTTTTGCTATGCTTATGGGTAATTCATAGAAAACAGAAAAAATACTGTTCCCAAAAGGCAGTTATATATTTCAGTTTAATATCACCTATAAGTATGAGAAAGGTTTCCATGTCTCCTACCCCTCACTGCACTTAGGAAAATTCTTATTTATGAATAAAGTAAGATAAGTAAATCTAATTGCCTAGTCGTTTTTTTAACACATATACATGCAATGTATCTGGATGAATAGAAGGCTGAATTGAAGCTTTCTTTATATTTAAGAGGTAAAAAGAAATATTAATACTTTTAAAATATACTAACAACCAAAAAGTGTTCAGAATTTTGCTATAATAATAATTTGTATTAAAATAGTACCTAGAAAAATTCAGTCTATGGAATAGGTAAAATTTTAAAATTTTAATTTGCTCTCAGAGTTCTGTCTGATAAAATAATTGAACTATAATTGGCATGATGAATATTCCCAGGTTTTACTTCAGTATATAAATTTAACTCTCAGCCACATGGGCTTTCCAGACTTTTCAATACATATGATGTTGCAGGAATTGCAATATTTGCAAACATGTGCCACAACAGTGTTCTTGGTGATGTTTCTAAAACAGTTTTTATTCTATTAATGTTAAATTTTCTAACATAAACATTTAATTGATTAATGTAAAATTTTAGGAAGGAACATCTTTAATTTTCAATATGAGATGGTTGCAACCTTTAAAGTAGTACATATTTGATTTTTTTTAAAAGGCAATATTTTTTTTTCTAGGAAAACTATTCATTATGGTTATTTAACTGCATATGTTTTTTAAATTTTTCCCTCTTGGAACAACATGTACTGGGGCCTATCAAAGGGTGGAGGGTGGGAGGAGGGAGAGGAACAGGAAAAATAACTAATGGGTACTAGGCTTAATACCTGGGTGATGAAATAATCTGTATAATAAATCCCCATGACACAAAAGTTTACCTGTGTAACAAACCTGCATATGTACCCCTAAACTTAAATTCTTCCCTCTTTTTGTCTTGGGCACAAGTTTTTGGGATATGGAAAAGTTTATTGTATCCCTTTTGAATTTTCTTCTAAGATGAACTTTTTAAATAAAAGATATTACTGCTTTTATATTTAATCTGTCAACATTTATTGGGACATTTTATGTAGTAGGCAGTATATAAAAAGCACTGGAGATGATAAGATATTTCAGATATTGTTACTGGCCACAGGAGGTTTCAGAGCTATGATTGAGTGATTGATAGAAACATACAAAGGGAGTCATGGGAAATATGGGGAGTTGTTCACTCAGCCTGGGGGCAGAGAAGGGGAGTGGTCAGGAAACCTGAGTTGGACTGACAGACAGGCAATCCAATAAGTAAACATGCAGGGAAGTGGGAGTCTCAATAAGGCAATAGAATTTAGTCCATATGGCTTGAACAAAGTGTATACATGGGAAAGTGTAAACATGGAAATGTAATCTAAGGCCTTGTGCGCTTAAGGAGGAACAAGAAGGCTGTGAGAAACCTAGGAAAAACTTTTTGGCAAAGTTGTAACAGTTAGTTAGACTTGGGTTTTGGAAGATACCCAGCAGTATGGAAAATGGGGCTTATGATAAGGTGATCTATGTTAAAATCTAAAAGTTTTGGTTTGTATTAAAATATGCTTTTTAAATGTACCATAATGAAAAAGAGGTAATTTTAGCTTCCCTTTCCTATCAATCAGTTAAAATGACAAATGCTAAAACTAAATCGAAGCTGCTTTGCTTTCAGAAGAGCAGAATGAACAACAGTCTTGTGACACTTAAGTGGTAATCCAATATGTTAGTTTAGTTTAGCAAAATCTGCACATTTCATCTAATGATAGGAACTTTAACAAAGCAGTTTTCTAAGTTGTAAATTTGGGACACATTGATAACCACTTAAAACTGTATGTAAATCTAATGATTTAACAACTAACTTATGATCTACTTTTTCTGCCACTCATAATTAGTAGTAGCTTGCATTTGGCATTTATCTCTTTAGAACTTCTTTTATATATGATTTTATTTAATGCTTACATCATCCTGATGCCATCTCTTAGGTGCCAAGAAGATAGTGATGATTCTTACAGGTGAGAAAACAAACATGACTATTTTATAATTAAATCAGTAACACTGCCAGAACCACTACTAAACTGTACTGATTGATTGAATAGATGTTGTGTATTCTAAAGCATATCATGTTACTTTTAAAAAATAGGATATTTAACTTGATGTGAGTTGAAATAAGGATTTCTCCCATTCCATTTTCATGTTAGTATTTTAGGTGTGAAATAATATATATTTACCACATTTGCTGAAACAAAAGTTAAGTGTACTTAAATCAGGTAACTTTTTGTCAAGCAAAATAAGACCACCAATGCATAGTACAAAATTTTTAATATACATGCAACAAGTATAGTACGCATCAAGGCAACAGAATACACATGGAAATATTGGCGTATAATTCAGCATTCTTTTGGAGGCAAGAGGGAGGGTGAACAATAAACACTACCACCTAAAATTAAAGATTGAGACATACATGGTTTCCTCATGCAAACAGTAACAAACTACCTTTAGTGTGAAACGAACTCTGTAGAAACCTGATTTTATAACAGCAGATGAATTTTATACCAAGATCTCCAAGAAAGGAGGAAAAGTCATGATCCTCAGATGTAATGTTTAAATCTGCATTTAGCAGCATGTGAAGATGCACAAATTACACATTAGACAAATCTGAAAAATTTTACGATTATGGAATCTTGAATTTCCTTCTACATTATAAAAATGTATGTAAAACCATTGTTTAATTACTAAAGGATAATAAATGTTGGTTGAGAGTGGACCATGAATGATAAAGCATTTAAACATTCTGATAGTTCATAGGAAAGCAGCAATAGTGCTCAAGTCCAGCCTAAAATTTTCAAATTTCTCTTTATCCATTTCCTCACTCCCTTCTCCCAAAGTTTCCATTGTCCTCATATTATACCTACCTTCCATCCCCCATGCTGATGAAAACCTGCTTTGGATACTTCACTCATAATCAGGTATGTAGAATTGAGAAATTGAGAACAAAAAATGTATCATTTCTCAAGAATATTTGCATTTCTACAAGTATTGAAGCCTTAAGCTTAAAGGAATAAAGCTCTGAATATGTTCTGGCACATCTAAGATAACTTATTTTAAGGGCTTCCAGGCCTTTGTCCCTGAAGTGACACTGTTTGACTGTCTTACATAAAAGACTTGCCTTGTTACTACTTATTATCTTAAATTCCAAATTATGAGACTAAGCTCTAAATATTGCAGAAAACCACCACACTCCTACATTTCTAACACAAAGAATGAATGTGGTAACCTCAGCTCTTTTCTCAATAATAATAAACAAAAAAACCATATGAAGTCCTCAGTAAGTACTGTGGCCTCATCATGTAAACAATGTATAAAATTTCTTTGGCACAGCTAATCATGTTTTCCTCATATTACTTACTATAGAAAATACACGCCATACATTTTCAGTATGGTGGGATTTTTAGGGATTAATGTAGCTGTTTCAAAAATTGCAAAAAAAAAAAAGTACAGATTACAACTTTAAAAAAAAAAAAACTAATTTTACCTGTGTATAAGTGTGGGGATGTTTTAACATTAAAATGTTTTAAAATGAGACTCTGGTGTGATTAATGATAGAGGCTATAAAACACACATGACACACTTCATTGTTGCACAAACAGGAAAAAGAACCAGCACTGAATATCAGACATATATTAAGTAAATATGATAACTATCCTACTGATCCTTGTTTAAAAGCCTCTCAAATCCTTAACTGAACTTGAACTCTTTCCTGGCAAAACAATTTTTCAACGTTTGTTCTACATTTTGAAATGTTTCTAGTTTTTGAGGCATACTTGATCATACTTTTAAATTGATAATCTTTTAAGAAAATCTTGGAAAACAGTTTATTCATTTTGCCTAAATGGCATAAAATACTGTAAAATATTTTCCTTGTGGCACTAACAAATTAAGTCAGTAACTACCAAAACAGGCATGTTCCTATGGAATTTATAAAATGTTAAGTGGAATGCTGAATTGATACCAAATGGTAAATATTAAAGAAAAACTGAATAAGCCACTGTGAAAATGCAGCTGAGAACTTTCCCGTTATTAAAAACAAGGCATTTAAAGCATAGAACTTAGGAAGACATTAATGAAAAAATGAAATTAACTTTTTTTTTTTTTTTTTTTGAAAATCTGAAAGAATGAAAAAATACTTAGCTTAAGTCTCTGGAGTCTCTGGAATAAAACCTTGAAGTCAGTCTCTGGCCACTAAGGTGTATTTAAATATATAAAAATCAGCTGAACAATATGTACAATTTGCTATGAATGATTTGGCGGATCTTTGAAAGTTTTTTTTTTTTTAAAGCCTATTCCATTTTGAACTTTCTCAATGACAAATGTAAGAATTTTAAAAATGAAAAATGGCAGGATCATTATGTTTTTCACTCAAAATCTCTTATCTGGAGGGGATTCTCTCCAAGCAATAGAATTTCAGACATGTACCAGAACAATATAAAATTTCAAAGGTCTTCCCAGCAGTCAAACATGTAAATTAAACATTTACAACATAAAAAGTTTTGGCTTTTACACAAAAATTTTCAGGATGGAGTTAGGCCTGGACTTGTCATCTCTGTTGTAGGACTTGCAAGGTAGTCATTAGATTTTAAGCTTGTTAGAGACTTGTAACTTGCCACTGACGTTAGAGATCCACAGAGGCCAAGTAATGAGGGAGTATCTTCCTTACCTGAAAATTAGAATTAAATAGCAAATAATTAATTGCCCTTCAAGAATGATACAAATAAGATCCTAAAACCATTAGAAATTGGAAGAATCAATACTGTGAAAATGACCATACTGCCCAAAGAAACCTACAGAACAAATTGCATGATTGACTGCTATCCCCATTAAAGTACCAACATCATTTTTCACAGAATTAGAAAAAAAATCCTACAGTTCATATGGAACCAAAAAGCACAAATACCAAAGCAATCTTAATAAAAAAGAACAAAGCTAGAAGCATCACATCAACTAACTTCAAGCTGTAACCAAAATAGAAAGGTGCTGTTATACAGACACAAAGACCAATGGAACAGAATAGAGAACCCAGAAATAAAGCTGCACATGTATAGCCATCTGATGTTTGACAAAGTTGACAAAAGTAAGCAATGGGAAAAAGACTCTCTATTCAATAAATGGTGCTGGGATAGCTGTCTAGCCATATGCAGAAAAATAAAACATAAGGAAAAGAATTTATGACGTAAGTCCTTAAAAGCAATTGCAACAAAACCAAAAATTGACAAGAGGGACCTAATTAAACTAAAGAGCTTCTGCACAGCAAAAGAAACTATCAACAGGGTAAACAGACAACCTCCAGAATGGGAGAAAATATTTGTAAACTCTGCATCCAACAAATGTCTGATATCCAGAATCTATAAGGAACTTAAACATTAAACAAGCAAAAAATAACCCCATTAAGAGGTGAGCAAAAGACACGAAGACACTTCTCAAAAGAAGACACAGAAGTGGTCAACAATCATGAATATATGCTCATCATCAGTAATCATCAGAGAAACGCAAATCAAAACCACAATGAGATACCATCTCACACCAGTCACAATGGCTATTATTTTAAAAGTCAAAAAAGAACAGATGTTGGCAAAGTGACTGAGAATAGGGAATGCATTTTGGTTTACAATCTGATATTTTAAACCAAATGACATGATATAAGGGTTGCTACGCTGCTTTCTTTGTGTTTCTATTTGCCTGTTACACATTTGTTAATCCCTTTTTATTTACTGGCAAATTAGTTCAGCCATTGTGGAAAGCAATTTGAAGATTTCTCAAAGAACTTAAAACAGAATTACCATTCGACCCAGCAATCCCATTACTGGGTATATATCCAGAAGAAAATAAATCATTCTGCCAAAAAGACATATGCACTCATATGTTCATCATAGCACTATTCACAATGGCAAAGACATGGAATCAACCTAGGAGCCCATCAGCAGTGGACTGGATAAAGAAAATGTGGTACATCTACACCATGGACTACTATGCAGCCATAAAAAAGGAATGACATCATGTCCTTTGCAGCAACATGGATGAAACTAGAGGCCATTATCTTAAGTGAATTAACATAGGAATAGAAAACCAAATACCACATATAATCTCTTATAAGTGAGAGCTAAACACTGAATACTCATGGATATAAAGATGGCAGTGGTAGACAGTGGGGTCAACTAGAAGGGGAGGTGTGGTGGGGGGCAAGGGTGGAAAAACTACCTGTTGGGTACTATGCTAACTACTTGGGTGATGGGATCAATTGTACCCTAAACCTCAGCATCACACAATATACCCATGTAACAAACCTGCAAATACACCCCTTTGAATCTAAAATAAAAGTTGATATTTAAAAAAGACAGTATAATAATTACTGAACATAATAATTTTAAAAAAGAAAATTTAATTTCAGCTTATATTTCCCTGTTACCCACAAGTTGTTTGATGGGTTTATACCCAGGTGGAGGGGCCCTTTTGAACAACAAAAAAAAGTTATCAATAATTTCTAGGGTTCTTTTGCACTGTGATTAGAGAATACTGTTTGTAATATTTTACTTTATACATTTATTGCTTTCTTTTTTCTCTTGAGATAGGGTCTGTGTTGCCCAGAATGGTCAGGAACTCCTGGGCTCAAACAATCCACCCAGGTATCTGGGGGATTACAGGCATGCACCACTGCACCCAGCTTATGTTTTCTTTATGAGCTAACTTCTGAACATTTTTGAGACTGTTCTATCTGTACTTAAGAAGAAGTTATATTATCTATTTTCAGGTTATAAAGTTCCATAGAGCATAAGATATACCCTAGTAATTATGTTGTTTAGGTGTATTATATTCTTTTTTGTCTATTTGATTTGTCTTATACTGAGAATAGTATGTCTTCAACTGTCACTGGATTTCTGTTTCCTTATATAAAGGGGGATATCATTATTTGTTGTATAATCCTGTTATATCTTAATTTTTTTTAGCATTAAAACATATCTTTCCTTGTAATGCTTAATGCATTTTGGTTTAAAATCTACCCATCTGATATAAGGGTTGCTACCCTGCTTTGTGTTTTTTGGTTTTGTTTGTTTGTTTTTGAGACAGAGTCTCACTCTAGCACCCAGGCTTGAGTGCAGTGGCGCAGTCTCAGCTCACTGCAATCTCGGCCTCCCAGGTTCAAGCAATTCACCTGCCTCAGCCTCCCCAGTAGTTGGGATTACAGGGGCCCACCACCGCACCTGGCTAATTTTGTATTTTTAATAGAGACAGTGTTTCACCATGTTGGTCAGGCTGGTCTCGAACTCCTGACCTCAAGTGATCTGCCCGCCTCAGCCTCCCAAAGTGCTGGGATTACAGGCATGAGCCACCATGCCTGGCCCCTTGTTTGTATTTTTATTTGCCTGTTACATATTTGTCTATTCCTTTATATTTAGCCATTCAGAATAAATCATAATTTTGTTGTAATTTTATGTATATAGTTATATTTACTGTTTCTCTCCTTGGTATATGTTGTTTGCCATTTCATTAATTTCTTTTGATAGGCTCTCTGCTGTGACAAATTATTTTGCTTTGTTAAATTTGCTATGCTTCTCTTTCTAGATGACATATTTGCTTTAAAAAAATTATTTAGGAAGGTTTGTATTTTAGTTCTAGTTGTTACCTTTATACAACTAGACAAATCTAATGCCAACTTCATTCTTTTCTCCCTTTCTAGTTTGTTTCATCTTTTTGCCTGGAAGTCACCAGTATGTTTTCATTATTGTTACTATGTAATAATTTTAGTAGAATTTGTCTTGTAGGTGATTACTTCAGGCAAAT
Source organism: Homo sapiens (assembly GCF_000001405.40). Classification (NCBI taxonomy): domain Eukaryota; kingdom Metazoa; phylum Chordata; class Mammalia; order Primates; family Hominidae; genus Homo; species Homo sapiens. Next base: position 87,826,765 of record NC_000007.14, on the reverse strand, counting down.
TTTCTTTAGTACTTGGTTAGATCTTTCAATTTGTATATTATGTCTTCATTTACTTCCAAACGTTGTTCTTGAATGATAGATTTTGGTATTAGTTCTGTTCCACTATTTTATCTTCTCCAGTGACTCTATAAACATGTAAATTTGATATTCTTGCCTTTCTAATTCAACCACTTCCTAACTCATTTTACTTCTTTCTTTATCTCATTTTCATTCTCTTGGTTGTTTTCCCATTTTTCTTCAGTGTTTTAGATTAAGTTTTCTTTCAAATCCATTCTTCTTTAGATACCTTGTATTAGTCCATTTTCACGCTGCTGATAAGGCATACTTGATACTTGGAAATGTATGAAATAAAGAGGTTTAATGGATTCACACTTCACGTGACTGGGGAAGCCTCATGATCATGGTGGAAGGTGAAAGGCACATCTCACATGGCAGCAGACAAGAGAAGAGAGCTTATGCAGGGAAACTCCCCTTTTGAAAACCATCAGATTTCGTGAGACTCATTCACTATCATGAGAACAGCACACTAAAGATCTGCCCCCGTAATTAAATCACCTCCCACCAGGTTCCTCCCATGACGTGGGAATTGTGAGAGTTACAATTCAAGATAAGATTTCGGTGGGGACAGCCAAACCATATCATTCTTCCCCTGGCCCCTCCCAAGTCTCATGTCCTAACATTTCAAAACTAATCATGCCTTCCCAACAGTCCCTCAAAGTCTTAACTCATTTCAGCATCAATTCAAAAGTCCACAGTCCAATGTCATCTGAGACAAGGCAAGTTTCTTCTACCTATGAGCCTATAAATCAAAAGCAAGTTAGTTACTTCCTAGATACAATGAGGGTACAGGAACTGGGTAGATACAGCTGTTCCAAACTGGAGAAATTGGCCAAAACAAAGGGGCTACATACCCCAAGAAAGTCCAGAATCCAGCAGGGCAGACAAATCTTAAGGTTCCAAAATGATCTCCTTTGACTCCCTGTCTCACATCCAGGTCATGCTGATGCAAGGGATGGATTCCCATGGTCTTGGGCAGCTCCACCCCTGTGGTTTTGCAGAGTACAGCCTCGCTTCCGGCTGCCTTCACAGGCTGGTGCTAAGTGTCTGTGGCTTTTCTGGGTGGATGATGCAAGATGTCAGTGGATCTACAATTCTGGGATCTGGAGGACAGTGGTCCTTTTCTCACAGCTCCACTAGGTGGTGCCCCAGTAGGGACTCTGTGTGGGGGTTCTGACCCCACATTTCCCTTCTGCACTGCCCTGGTAGAAGTTCTTCATGAGGGCCCCACCCCTGCAGCAAACTTCTGCCTGGGCATCCAGGTATTTCCCTACATCTTCTGAAATCTAGGCAGAGGTTCCCAAACCCCAATTCTTGACTTGTGTGCACTTGCAGGCTCAACACCACGTGGAAGCTGCCAAGGCTTGGGGCTTAGACATTTCTCCCATTGTCTTGGGGATTAACATTTGGCTCCTTGTTACTTATGCAAATCTCTGCTGGCTTGAGTTTCTCCTCAGAAAATGGTATTTTCTTTTTCTTTCTTTTTTTTTGAGATGGAGTCTCGCTCTGTCACCCAGGCTGGAGTGTGGTGTGATTTCGGCTCACTGCAAGCTCCACCTCCCAGGTTCACGCCTTTCTTCTGCCTCAGCCTCCCAAGTGGCTGGGACTACAGGCACCCGCCACCATGCCCAGCTAATTTTTTTTTGTATTTTTAGTAGTGACAGGGTTTCACCATGTGCAGGAGGTATTTTCTTTTCTATCACATTGTCAGGCTGCAAATTTTCTGAACTTTTATGCTCTCCTTCCCTTATAAATTGAATGCCTTTAACAGCACCCAATCACTCTTGAATGCTTTGTTGCTTAGAAATTTCTTCCACCAGATACCCTAAATCATCTCTTTCAAGTTCAAAGTTCCACAAGTCTCTATGGCAGGGGCAAAATGCTGCCAGTCTCTTTGCTAAAATATAACAAGAGTCACCTTTGCTCCAGTTCCCAACAAGTTCTTCATCTCCATCTGAGACCACCTCATCCTGGATTTCATTGTCCATATCATTATCAGCATTTTGGTCAAAGATATTCAACAAGTCTCTAGGAAGTTCCAAACTTTCCCACATTTTCCTGTCTTCTTCTGAGCTCTCCAAACTGTTCCAACCTCTGCCTGTTAACCCAGTTCCAAAGTCCCTTCCACATGTTTGGGTATCTTTTCAGCAGTGCCCCACTCTACTGGTACCAATTTACTATATTAGTCCACTTTCACACTGCTGATAAGACGTACCCAAGACTAGGCAATTTGTGAAAAAAAGAGGTTTAATGGACTCACAGTTCCATGTGACTGGGGATGCCTCACAATCATGGTGGAAGGTGAAAGGCACATCTCACATGGTGGCAGACAAGAGAGCTTGTGCAGGGAAACTCCCCTTTTTAAAACCATCAGATCTTGTGAGACTCATTCACTATCATGAGAACAACCTGGGAAAGACTTGCCCCAATAATGCAATCACCTCCCACTGGGTTCCTCACATGACACGTCATTTCTTCTTCTTTATTAGACATTGATGTTCTTAGGTTTTGATTTCCAATTTGAAATGTTTCTGTCTTATGACTAATTGCTTGTTGGAGGATATTTAATAAAATTATATGATTTTATTTTATGAAAGTATCAAATTATCACATGTACCCCCAAAATATGTATATCCATTATGTATCAATTTTAAAAGTTACTTTAATAGGATACAGAAATTATATGGCTTTATAACATCTTTTTTCCTGCTTCACTATTGTTTTCCTGGGTGGTGAAGTTCATTGGCTTAATTATTTTTCTCAATTTATGTGATTTTTTAAAATTAGTTTTGCAAGGTATAACGAACCCAAATGCCCATCAATCAACAAGTGGATACAGAAACTGGTATGTATGTATGTATGTAGGTGAGTGTGTATATATATATGTGTGTGTGTGTGTGTGTGTGTGTGTGTGTGTATATATATGAAATGGAATACTACTCATTCATAAAAAGGAATGAATTAATGGCATTTACAGCAACCTGGATGAGATTAGAGACTATTATTCTAACTGAAGTAACTCAGGAATGGAAAACCAAACATCGTATTTTCTTACTCATAAGTGGCAGCTGAGCTATGAGGATGCAAAAGCATAAGAAAGAGACAAAGGAGTTTGGGGACTGAGAGGAAAGGGGTGGGAAGGGGATGTGGGATAAAAGACTACAGTTGGGTGCAGTGTATACTGCTCAGGTGATGGGTGCACCAAAATCTCATAAATCACCACTAAAGAACTTACTCATGTAACCAAACATCCCCTATTTCCCAATAACTTATGGAAATAAAAAAATTAAAAAAAATAAAAATAAAAAATAAAGATACTCAATTTTAAAGAAAGAAAAAAAATAGTTTTGCATAGACAGTGTGTTTGCTCCTCAGGATTTCTATGGAAAGGGCTATGTGACTTGGATGGTTTATGAAATTTTAAAAAGAGTACCTGTTGGGGTTCAATCAGGCTTGTGGAAAAAATATTACAGATAGTTATAGAAATGGACATAAATCATCTTGGAAGGCCAGAGGTTTGCATAACTTTGGTAATAGATCTGGCTAAAGGTGGCCTGATCCCTTTACCTTTAGTTAAACAAATTAAAATAGTAATAAAGAAAGGCAGAGTAGTTTAGCTAGCTAGCTTGTTTACACATGTGATCTTTTTTTTTAATTTTATTTTATTATTATTATACTTTAAGTTTTAGGGTACATGTGTAAAATGTGCAGGTTTGTTACATATGTATACATGTGCCATGTTGGTGTGCTGCACCAAATAACTCGTCATTTAGCATTAGGTATATCTCCTAATGCTATCCCTCCCCACTACCCCTACCCCACAACAGTCCCTGGAGTGTGATGTTCCCCTTCTTGTGTCCATGTGTTCTCATTGTTCAATTCCCACCTATGAGTGAGAACATGCAGTGTTTGGTTTTTTGTCCTTGCGATAGTTTGCTGAGAATGATGGTTTCCAGTTTCATCCATGTCCCTATAAAGGACATGAACTCTCAATTTTTTATGGCTGCATAGTATTCCATGGTGTATATGTGCCACATTTTCTTAATCCAGTCTATTGTTGTTGGACATTTGGCTTGGTTCCAAGTCTTTGCTATTGTGAATAGTGCCGCTATAAACATATGTGTGCATGTGTCTTTATAGCAGCATGATTTATAGTCCTTTGGGTATATACCCAGTAATGGGATGGATGGGTCAAATGGTATTTCTAGTTCTAGATCCCTGAGGAATAGCCACACTGACTTCCACAATGGTTGAACTAGTTTACAGTTCCACCAACAGTGTAAAAGTGTTCCTATTTTTCCACATCCTCTCCAGCACCTGTTGTTTCCTGACTTTTTAATGATCGCCATTCTAACTGGTGTGAGACGGTATCTCATTGTGGTTTTGACTTGCATTTCTCTGATGGCCAGTGATGATGAGCATTTTTTCATGTGTTTTTTGGCTGCATAAATGTCTTCTTTTGAGAAGTGTCTGTTCATGTCCTTCGCCCACTTTTTGATGGGGTTGTTTTTTTCTTGTAAATTTGTTTGAGTTCATTGTAGATTCTGGATATTAGTCCTTTGTCAGATGAGTAGGTTGCGGAAATTTTCTCCCATTTTGTAGGTTGCCTGTTCACTCTGATGGTAGTTTCTTTTGCTGTGCAGAAGCTCTTTAGTTTAATTAGATCCCATTTGTCAATTTTGGCTTTTGTTGCCATTGCTTTTGGTGTTTTAGACATGAAGTCCTTGCCCATGCCTATGTCCTGAATGGTATTGCCTAGGTTTTCTTCTAGGGTTTTTATGGTTTCAGGTCTAACATGTAAGTCTTTAATCCATCTTGAATTAATTTTTGTATAAGGTGTAAGGAAGGGATCCAGTTTCAGCTTTCTACATATGGCTAGCCAGTTTTCCCAGCACCATTTATTAAATAGGGAATCCTTTCCCCATTGCTGGTTTTTGTCAGGTTTGTCAAAGATCAGATGGTTGTAGATATGCGGCATTATTTCTGAGGGTTCTGTTCTGTTCCATTGATCTATATCTCTGTTTTGGTACCAGTACCATGCTGTTTTGGTTACTGTAGCATTGTAGTATAGTTTGAAGTCAGGTAGCGTGATGCCTCTGGCTTTGTTCTTTTGGCTTAGGATTGACTTGGCGATGCGGGCTCTTTTTTGATTCCACATGAACTTTAAAGTAGTTTTTTCCAATTCTGTGAAGAAAGTCATTGGTAGCTTGATGGGGGTGGCATTGAATCTGTAAATTACCTTGGGCAGTATGGCCATTTTCACAATATTGACTCTTCCTACCCATGAGCATGGAGTGTTCTTCCATTTGTTTGTATCCTCTTTTATTTCATTGAGCAGTGGTTTGTAGTTCTGCTTGAAAAGGTCCTTCACATCCCTTGTAAGTTGGATTCCTAAGTATTTTATTCTCTTTGAAGCAATTGTGAATGGGAGTTCACTCATGATTTCGCTCTCTGTTTGTCTGTTATTGGTGTATAAGAATGCTTGTGAGTTTTGTACATTGATTTTGTATCCTGAGACTTTGCTGAAGTTGCTTATCAGCTTAAGGAGATTTTGGGCTGAGACAATGGGGTTTTCTAGATATACAATCATGTCATCTGCAAACAGGGACAATTTGACTTCCTCTTTTCCTAATTGAATACCCTTTATTTCCTTCTCCTGCCTAATTGCCCTGGCCAGAACTTCCAACACTATGTTGAATAGGAGTGGTGAGAGAGGGCATCCCTGTCTTGTGCCAGTTTTCAAAGGGAATGCTTCCAGTTTTTGCCCATTCAGTATGATATTGGCTGTGGGTTTGTCATAGATAGCTCTTTATTATTTTGAGATATGTCCCATCAATACCTAATTTATTGAGAGTTTTTAGCATGAAGGGCTGTTGAATTTTGTCAAAGGCCTTTTCTGCATCTATTGAGATAATCATGTGGTTTTTGTCTTTGGTTCTGTTTATATGCTGGATTACATTTATTGATTTGCGTATGTTGAACCAGCCTTGCATCCCAGGGATGAAGCCCACTTGATCATGGTGGATAAGCTTTTTGATGTGCTGCTGGATTCGGTTTGCTAGTATTTTATTGAGGATTTTTGCATCAATGTTCATCAAGGATATTGGTCTAGAATTCTCTTTTTTGGTTGTGTCTCTGCCCGGCTTTGGTATCAGGATGATGCTGGCCTCATAAAATGAGTTAGGGAGGATTCTCTCTTTTTCTATTGATTGGAATAGTTTCAGAAGGAATGGTACCAGTTCCTCCTTGTACCTCTGGTAGAATTCAGCTGTGAATCCATCTGGTCCTGGACTCTTTTTGGTTGGTAAGCTATTGATTATTGTCACAATTTCAGATCCTGTTATTGGTCTATTCAGAGATTAAACTTCTTCCTGGTTTAGTCATGGGATGGTGTATGTGTCGAGGAATTTATCCATTTCTTCTAGATTTTCTAGTTTATTTGTGTAGAGGTGTTTGTAGTATTCTCTGATGGTAGTTTGTATTTCTGTGAGATCGGTGGTGATATCCCCTTTATCATTTTTTATTGCATCTATTTGATTCTTCTCTCTTTTCTTCTTTATTATTCTTGCTAGCGGTCTAACGATTTTGTTGATGTTTTCAAAAAACCAGTTCCTGGATTCATTAATTTTTTGAAGGGTTTTTTGTGTCTCTATTTCCTTCAGTTCCGCTCTGATTTTAGTTATTTCTTACCTTCTGCTAGCTTTTGAATGTGTTTGCTCTTGCTTTTCTAGTTCTTTTAATTGTGATGTTAGGGTGTCAATTTTGGATCTTTCCTGCTTTCTCTTGTGGGCATTTAGTGCTATAAATTTCCCTCTACACACTGCTTTGAATGTGTCCCAGAGATTCTGGTATGTTGGGTCTTTGTTCTCGTTGGTTTCAAAGAACATCTTTATTTCTGCCTTCATTTCGTTATGTACCCAGTAGTCACTCAGGAGCAGGTTGTTCAGTTTCCATGTAGTTGAGCGGTTTTGAGTGAGTTTCTTAGTCCTGAGTTCTAGTTTGATTGCACTGTGGTCTGAGAGACAGTTTGTTGTAGTTTCTGTTCTTTTACATTTGCTGAGGAGTGCTTTACTTCCAACTATGTGGTCAATTTTGGAATAGGTGTGGTGTGGTGCTGAAAAGAATGTATATTCTGTTGATTTGGGGTGGAGAGTTCTGTAGATGTCTATTAGGTCTGCTTGGTGCAGAGCTGAGTTCAATTCCTGGGTATCCTTGTTAACTTTCTGTCTCGTTGATCTGTCTAATGTTGATAGTGGGGTGTTAAAGTCTCCCATTATTATTGTGTGGGAGTCTAAGTCTCTTTGTAGGTCACTAAGGACTTGCTTTATGAATCTGGGTGCTCCTGTATTGGGTGCATATATATTTAGGATAGTTAGCTCTTCTTGTTGAATTGATCCCTTTACCATTATGTAATGGCCTTCTAAGACTAACCTTTGGTGTACCCTGGGTGCTTAAGTACCTTTTACTCAGGAAGCCCACAATGTCAATTACCCTCTAATGGTGTTGACTCAAGCTTTTGTTAATCTTACTGAATAATCAGTCGGACTAGCTGATCAGGGCCGAGTCACAACTGTTTACAGGACTCAGCAGAGAGCCCGTAAGCAGCTCGGACCTTCAGCTGGACTGGCATAGCAGAATATCTGTGTGTCTGTGTACTTTATGCATCTGTCGCTGGGTCAGGGGTCTGCAAGGGACAGACTCCCCATAGCTCGTTCCCCCTTGAGAGGAGTGCTGCCGGAAGTACCTCCTATCAGTGTGCCAAAGTATGCTGTTGTTGTTGTTGTTTGTTTGTTTGTTTTTACTGTATGGCTTTTCTGGCTTTAAATTTACCTTCTTAACACTGCTTCTCTGCATCCCACATGTACTTTACCAGAATGCTGTTTTCATATGTTCACACTTAGGGTTGACTTTATCTTTCTAGAGGTGATTTTTGATCAATCTAAGCCTGCCACAAACATCCCAATTCCTTCTTTTGCACAGTTTAATTTTTCCTCCACCCCTGTGCTCACAGCTTGTTACAGGAGCATGAGAGCCTGCTTGTATTTGGTATTTATTTTTCTACTCCCAGGCAATTTGAAGTTTATTTAATGTCTGCTGTTTATGCTGAAAGCTTGGGTTTTGTGTGGTTTTATTTGTTCTCTTATTATATTTGTATAGGATATGCTGATTCAAACCTGCATCACTCCATTGTCTCAACTGTCCAAAATTCCTCAGTTTTTTAAAATCAGATTTGAGAATTCTAGGAGTCTTACTAACTCATCATGAGAACATGTTTCCTTCCTGATCACCAGTTTTTTGTAGTCTATTATATCATGCAGCCTCCTTTCTTGTTGGGTGGCAGTTGGTAGATTTTTGGTTAATTTTTACTCATTTTATTAAATAATTGGGTATGGAAACTCTGTAAGTAACTTTTAATCTGCTATTAAACCTTGAATTATTGAAGACAATACAGTTGTTTTTATAGTGTCAAAATGCTCATTATTACTCTTGTCCTGTTGATATCAAAATACCTATAATTAAAAATTAGAATAAAATCCTAAATGTCTTTTAGATGAAGAATCATCATAAATAAATTCATTCATAGTATGAATTAGCTTTTAAAATATACTCATTATGGATTATGACAGTGAATCCAAGTTACTATTGGATTTATAAAAAAAGTACTAAAATATTAAAATATTAAGATTAAGGCCCTTTGAGAACATTTCAACAACCAACTTAAAGAAAGCAGAAAATTCAGTTCGACACAATATTTACACTGCCTAAGCCTGCTAGTTAAATGAATTTCTACTTTATTCCTCACATCCTATGTCATTATATGGTTACTTGATCAATAAATGTTTAATAAGTTGCCTATTTTGTGTCAAGACTCTAGTTCATACACTGGTGAAAATGATGGATAAGATTTTTACCCTCATGAACCTTACAGTTCAGAGGGGGTTTACAGACAAGAATCATAATAAAATGCATGGCAGTATGATAGAGCATGCCTGGCATGGGCTGGGAACAGAGATGGGGATGGGGGTGGCTATTTACAGTATGGCAGTCAGTGAAAGCTTCTTTAGAAAGATGACATTTGAAAAGAATCTACCACGCAAAGGCCTTAAGAAAGAAGCTCTGGGGCAGTGGAAAAAGCAAGTGCAAAGACAGTCAAGGCAGGAACCAGCCTGAAGAAATAGCTAGGTCAGTTTGCTATGGTACACAGAACAAGGAAAAGAATGGTATGAAATGAGGCAGATGCTGGCAAGAACAAGGTCAAGTAGGAGGCTAGGAAAAGCAGTTTGGATTTTATTCTAATTGCCATTGAAAGCCATTGGAGAGTCTGAAGCAGGCTTATAATATTTTCTGATCTAAGTTTTTAAAGGTCACTGATTGCTACATGGAGAATGGACTGTGAGGGGGCAAGCAGCTTGCTCCAAGTGGCAGAGACTAAGGTTGCAGTAATAGAGAAGATTATGAGTAAATGTATATAGCATGTTTTATATGGGAGCTGACAGGACTTGTTTATAAATTGACTGTAATTGTAAGGAGAAAGAATAGAATCTAGGATAATGGCTATAGTGCCAATATTTACTGCAAGAGAGAAGGCAGGGTAAAAATTGGAGGCTTAAGGGAATGCAGGTTCCCCTGAGGTAGGGGATTATCTTTCTTCCCCTAGCTCTCATATATACCTGAAGTTGTAAACTGGGAGGAAAGAAAGAAAGATAAAAGATTGAGAACCAGATCATACCAGTGAACTCATGCCATCCAAAGTGCTGGAGTAACAGCTTTAACCTATGCTGAAGGAGAGAAAGAAAAGAGCTTTGAACCAAATAGATGACTGGTTTTAAAACCAATAGGTTGAGTCTTAGAAACTGAAATGGGACCATATAATTCAAACTAGCCTGAAAAGTTAGGGAATTGGACCAAATGATGTTGGGAAGATGCAACCCAATGGGAAGAGAGGCTGATATTGCACATCTGAAAGCAGTAATAGGAAAAAATAAAACACTTTTATGTTTGTTCCTGAAGATTTTTAAAATACTCAATAAACCAGGTACCATGAGTGATTCAAGAATGAGGAAGTGGTCAGTTGTGTCAAAAGCTGCTGAGAAGTTTAATGGAATAAGATAGAACTGACATTAGCAGTTCTCTGCAATATGTTAATAGCTGATTACCTTGATGAGTCCTTTTATTGAAGTGACACAAAAGCTAGATTGGCAGGGGTAAAAAAAAGTACAGGAAGTGAGTAAATGAAGGTAACAAAGACAAGTGTTTTGAGAAGGTTAGCCCCCCCCACACACACACGAGAAAGACACAAAGGCAGACCATTTTTAATCATAATGGCTGCTTAATTTCTAGCATGATTAACAGAGATGTCACTATTATTCTCTGGCAATCATCTGCAACCAAAATATAGATGGTACAGGAAAAGAGTAATTTTCAAATAGTTCTTTGTTTTCTTACCTTCACTCATTACATTTAATGTGTCTTGTTTTCCATCTCCTTCTTGTGACTGGCCTGGATCTAGTGAAGTCTGAGAAAGGCTAACTTCTGCTGATAACTGGTCAAGACTTTGATAACTTTTCCTGTAAAGCAAGGATGAAATACTACTTGAATTTCTTTTCACAAAAAAATAATTTCTTGAGTGGTTATTTAATGGTTTTCAATATGTTAAATTTCTGGTTAAAATTCTCCCCAGCATTTCTCCTAAATTTTGCTTCATATTCTTGGCTTCAGTATGATCTCCATTATACTTTCTATCATCTTTCAAGGCATATCTGTTTAATCCATTGGAAAACAGGAAAAAAAAAGAGTTTGTCAGACATAATCTTCATACCAATTTTTGATTACATAGATGGTTAAGAAATGGGAACTTCTGGTTATTACCAATTTTCAAAGAACAAAAAATCTTCAGATTACTCTTAATGAAGATATAAAATTGGCATAACAATAATGACCTAGTGTCTTTTAAGCACTTCAGAATTCTTCAGTGCCTGGACATTATTACAGATGGCCTTGACATTATTACAGATTATATAGCAACAAAAACAAATTATTATTACAAATTCCTGTAATTAAGAAGTTTAAAAACTGCTGGGTAATAAAATACCTGTTTGTATTAATATACATCAAGACGATTAAACTCTCATCTAGTTGCTATTTTGAGGCCCATTTTCTATTAAGCTAATAAAAAGTTAATTATATTAGATGATAAATTCAGTTACAAATGGAAAGTTAATGAAAGCTTATTATTAACCTTTCCTCATATTTGGTTCTTCAGGATAATCCCAACTCAAAAGATAATTGCAGCTTTGGTGTTACATTTTACATAACAGGACAAAATTATTATTTCCATATATAAGTGGTCTAGGGAAAGAATATGTTTTTCAGCCTCAATATCTATTTCCTAAGGTAGCCAAACACCATCTAATTTCCTAGAAATATATTTTACAATAATTTTTATAGGAATGCACATGTAATTTAAATTATCTATTTCACAGTTATCTCTAGTCACATACACAAAAGTAGACTTAGTTACAGGTTTTCAGAAATATGTATATTAAATGTGATTTGAATGCTTATATGTAGTCTCCATTTTATGTTAATTCACGACTCCATTCAAAATGGGGAGGAAGGGGGGGAAAGAATTTACTTTAGTAACTGAATAACAAACTAGATTGACTGTTTAAAAAAAAGGCAAAGCCCAATAGGTTTTACCAAAACAAGTTATTTTTAATTGCTTTTGTACATATTCTCCATCAATTTTATTAAGATTTTATAGGATTTCATAACGAATGGACAACATATATTCATAATGAATATACAACAGGTAAATATTTGTTTTTCCCTCTAAGAAATGAAGAATGAGGTGACAGAATCACTTTACCAGCTTATAATACAGTGTTCTCACTTTATAATTTGATGACTTTTAAATGCTTATAGTATTAAAGTCCTTATTTAAAATAATTTTTAACTACCAGAAAATTCTACTATTGCAGGAAACTTATGATGATTACAACAAATAACATTTATATGAGCTATGTAATGTGCAATAAAAATGATATCTAACATTTATATAGCACTTACTATATGTTGGGCACTTGTCTACATATATTATATATATGAACTTATTTCATCCTCACAACTACCATAAGAAGCTAGAATTATTACTATCTGCACTTTATGGCAGAATAAACTGGGTCACAAAGAGATTAGATTTAAACCTGTTAGTCTGGCTCTAATTCTCTCTCCTTAAATACTATGCTATCTACTCCCTAGTATAGGAAGAAAAGATTTGGCTTCCTATTTTATTAGAAATAATTCTCCGGCCGGGCGTGGTGGCTCGTGCCTGTAATCCCAGCACTTTGGGAGGCCAAGGCGGGCGGATCACCTGAGGTCGGGAGTTCAAGACCAGCCTGACCAACATGGAGAAACCCCATCTCTACTAAAAATACAAAATTAGCTGGGCGTGGTGGCAGATGCCTGTAATCCCAGCTACTTGGGAGGCTGAGGCAGGAGAATCGCTTGAACCTGATAGGCAGAGATTGAAGTGAGCCAAGATCGTGCCACTGCACTCCAGTCTGAGCAACAAGAGTGAAACTCCATCTCAAAAAAAAAAAAAAAAGGAAAGAAAGAAATCATTCTCCAAGAATATCCTTGTTTAATGAGACAGATCATGTAAACTATATTTAATCGTATCACAGAAAATCTCACTTGATTTTCATTAAAATCTTTTTTTTTTTTTTGAGACGGAGTCTCGCTCTGTCGCCCAGGCTGGAGTGCAGTGGCGCGATCTCCGCTCACTGCAAGCTCCGCCTGCTGGGTTCATGCCATTCTCCTGCCTCAGCCTCCTGAGTAGCTGGGATTACAGGCGCCTGCCACCACGCCCGGCTATTTTTTTTTGTATTTTTAGTAGAGACGGGGTTTCACCGTGTTAGCCAGGATGGTCTCAATCTCCTGACCTCACGATCCTCCCGCCTCGGCCTCTCAAAGTGCTGGGATTACAGGTGTGAGCCACTGCGCCCGGCCAAAATCTTACCTCTTTTAGCTAGAAAGGAAAGCAAGAACATAGGAATTTAAAAAGTAGTTATAAATACATTTCCTTTCCAAATTATTTTTTTTGTGCCCAATAGGTAGGAGGCTTACTTTTTAAGTTGAATGATAGCTCAAGATGAGTTTCTGACACTGATTTTTCATCATAAGAAAACTTGTTAGTATTTCTAAATTTAAAAAAATTATATATAGAAATAGTTACAAACAGTATAAAATATCCATAAGCAAAAAGACATAGAATTCATCTGAATATTGTAAGGACTGAAAAAATCTGACAGTACACATTTACAATAATCTCCAACACTACAACCCACTGCAGGGAAAAAACTCTGTAAAAGCAGCTTCTGACAATAGTAACATGAAATGAGCTTTCTGCGTGACCTACTGAGGTTCTTTTTAGAATATCACTTTCTGAATCCAAAGTGGTGTTAGAGCCTTTCTCCCCTTTAATTTGTCACAGTTAGTGAACAATTACTGAGTTTATAACTTTGCTTAACCAAATGCCAATGAATATGGAAATAGAATTTGGTAGATGATGTTCTGAAGCAATAATAAACATTACAACCCAAAATTAAGTACCTCATTAATAAAATATTAAGAACTGTACCTTACAATATCTTCTTTGCATGAAAATGACTACAAATCCACTATCTAGGAGGAAACAAATTCAGTTGTTTCAGTAATGGCTAAGAATGGGTTTGGTTTCCTCATTTTTACCTGATTTCCAATGTGACTGACAGCTCCATCTGACAAACATTTTGTAGTCATGCGGTAACGGTAACTGATCTATAAGAGTTCTGTCTTTATAAGGCCATAACTAAGCCCTATCTTAGAATCCTAGACTCATTAACATCACACAGTAAGATTGCAAGTAACTCAGCAGATACATTAATCCAATTAACAGCTATTACTTTCTCAGAAGATAATTTTTTACATACAAGTAGTTTAATCAAAATAAGAACCCAAGACAGTAAGAGTCATTCATTCTAATTATACAAAAATCTGTAGTTTAATCTTTACCTTTCCATTGTTAAATATAATATTTATTTATTTACTTATTTATTTGAGATGGAGTCTCACTCTGTTGCCCAGGCTAGAGTGCAATGGCACGATCTTGGTTCACTGCAACCTCTGCCTCCCAGGTTCAAGTGATTCTCCTGCCTCAGCCTCCCAAGTAGCTGAGATTATAGGTGTCAGCCACCATGCCTGGCTAATTTTTGTAGTTTTAGTGGAGATGCGGTTTCACCATGTTGGCCAGGCTGGTCTCGAACTCCTGACCTCAAGTGATCCGCCCGCTGTGGCCTCCCAAAGTGCTAGGATTACAAATGTGAGCCACTGTGCCCAGCCATTGTTAAACATAATTTAAATTAAACTTGTAGGAATTATGTCATGGGCATTTGGGAAAATCTACTAAATTCAACATCTAACTATTTGAACATTTTTAAACCTTAAATATAAACATCTATACATGAGATTGGATATCAAGTAAAGGCAAATCAAAAGGAAATTCAGAAATAATCCTGAATTTGTTAATTTTCTACAATCTTATATTTTATATCAATAATCAGAAGTAATAAATGATTAATCTATGCATTTGCCCAGTATTGTGTTAAGGTTAATAATAATTTATCCAGTAGTCATTGGGCAACAGACAGTGTGATACATAGAAGGAGATGAGCATTATCCAAAAACAAATATATGTATGTTGTATATACAGAAGCACATGAATGTACATCGAGACAGATATGTACTTTTTGTTCTTTGTTTTCACAGAAATATGTCTAAGGAACAAAATAATCATTTGCTACAGGAGAATATCTATATTCTCTTAATTTATTAAAATCAACAGAAGGATGCAAGGAAAGCCTAACAGGGAAGGGCATATATGAGTTATGTCAATGCCCAGTTTACAAGTTGTAAAAGATTTCTGCAGTTAGGGTCTCCTACTCCAAAAATATTTGAAAGACATGAATGGGAAAGAGAACTGTGAATACATATGAAGTGAAAGTCATTATAAAAAATTAAAAGCCAGCCGTGCGCGGTGGCTCATGCCTGTAATCCCAGCACTTTGGGAGGCCAAAGACCCACTTTGGGTGGGTCATGAGGTCAAGAGATCGAGGCCATCCTGGCCAACATGGTGAAACTCTATCTCTACTAAAAAATACAAAAAAAATTAGCTGGGTATGGTGGCAGGCGCCTGCAGTCCCAGCTACTCGGGAGGCTGAGGCAGGAGAATCACTTCAACCCGGGAGGCAAAGGTTGTGGTGAGCCGAGATCGTGCCACTGCACTCTAGCCTGGCGACAGAGTGAGACTCCATTAAAAAAAAAAAAAAATTAAAAGCCTAAATAGTAGATCATGAAAGCATGTAAGAGCTCATGATTCTCAATAATTTTGCAATGTGAATTATGGCCAAATTGGGAAATGATAATTTGAAAAGACTAAAAAAGCTTAAGTAGAAAATATAAATATGATGACAACGAATCTGATCTTTTGGGATAAGAATGGGTGAGTTAGGCAATAATCTAATAAGATTATGAAGATTATGTAACAGATAACCTACCAGGATTATTTAACAAACTCATGTGACCTAGACTTTACATATATATAAAGATATTAAAACAGAACTTACTGGAAACAAATAAGTAAATAATTATTCTATGTGTGTGTTAAAGGAACATGTTTTATACACTTATTTATTGTTCGGTTTTTACAGTAAGCCTGTCATGCTTTAAATATTTAATATATCATGTTACATTGTTAAAGCATGACAGGCTTTTAAAGTTAAAGTATTACAGGCTTTTACATGGTATCATGTTAAATTGTTAAAGCATGTTAGGCTTACTATAAAAGCATATATTTCAAACATGTATATCATGTTTGAAATATAGGAAAAGATATAAAATCCAGCATAGCTTGCCGGGTCTAACTAATCTTGCCAGGTCTAAGTGATCGATAAATAAACGAAATTATATTTTATAAACAGCATAGTAAAGAGAAATAAATTTAAGATCTTCAATTATGAGAGGGATCCATTTCCATGAGTAGGTGACAATATGACCAAATTATTCAATGGCTTAATTTAAGACTAAGAAATTCATTAAATCAAACAACACACTGTTGTTAAACAAACAGGAGGCCATTAGCCTAAGGCTGTCCCCCTACTCTGAGTTCCTAGTAACAAACTGCTACCTAACTTAGTAAACAAACCAAAGCCTAATTCAGGAGATTTTTTGTAACAAACAGCCAGGTTTCAGCTAGTTACAAACAGCTGAGATTCAGCTAATCCTAGGCAGCAAACTAATCACACCATGCTAAATAAGGTATTTGCTTAGCTGTAGCCAATCAGATGAATTCTCTACTTTGCTTTTGTTTGGCCTATAAAAGCTGCCTACATCCACTGCTGGGCAGAGCTCTCTGAACCTTTTCTGGTTCTGAACGTTGCCTGATTCATGAATCCTTTGCTCAGATAAACTCTGTATAACTTAATTTGTCTAAAGTTTTTCTTTTAACACTCTCTTCTTAAATTGTCTTTGGCTAACTGGTTGAATGAAGTTACAGAGTTCCTAGAGAAATAGCTATAGACATCCCATATCTTTACCAGGAAAAATCATCTACTATCATTAAAACTGTAATGAATTATAGGGTCAGTTTCTTTCTCCAGATTGTCAAGAGAGCTAATGTTCCTTATTAAAAAGGTTTTAGCCACCTCCTTCATAATTTGCAGTTTCTCAATAAATGTCTGTTGAACTTACTTAAGGTATTGGTCAAATCAAAAGGAGCCAGTGATCAGGTAGTTCAAGAGCCTTGGCTTATATTAAAAGTTTGAAGGGAGAAAAAACTGGATCCTGATGAAAAGCTGTGATTGGTTTCAAACGTGATTTTTATGGTGAACTCCTCTATTCTGAAAATCCAAAGCCTCCATTTTATATGAGACAGTTGGATTTATTTATTCAGAACAACTGGGGATGAGTTGTTCACTTTAATTTTACATAAGGTTCAGAAAGTTTAGAAGTTAGGTGGGTATACACTCTCCAAACATTGAAGATACAGGATTACATTAGAGTAGAAACATAAGACTTTATAGAGTATAAATATTTACTGAGAAGCTAGCTATTAAATGCTAGCAATTTATTAGCTCACTTGATCCTTATAATTCTGTTAGACAGGTATTATCCCCAGTATTACATGTGCAGAAAGAAAAGAGCAAGGAGAGGAAGTATTGCTCAGTGTTACACATTACGTAAGTAGCAGAGATTACTTACCAGTCCTGACTTTAAACTCTAGATAAAGTGATCTCTGTACAACACCCTAGCTGCATACTTTTTTGTTTGGGGATAGCAGTTTTGAGATAGGGCCATACTAAAACAATACCAACATCTGAGGACAGGCCAGATTAAAGAATGATGCTAGGATGCCCCTTCTTAAGTTGGTGGAATAACTGAGTCAAGAAGTATAAAATCTAGATCCATGCTAAACAGATGAACAGGAAGTTTCCTTGCCTTCTTTTCTGAGACCACAATTACCTTATCTGCTGCTATAATACTTTGTAAAAATCAGCCATTATTGCAGATGCAGAAGTAAATTAAAAATAAATCTTCCACTTTAGACTTCTTACTGGCTCCTCAATAGATAACTCTGTAGATTGGGAAGTGTACACATCTTCTGGCTAAAATATTTTACCTCTATCTAATGTGACCATGTGGATATTAAAATAAAAAGGCATAGTCTTTTAACTTACCAGGATTTAATGTTATACTATTTTTGCAGTTAAAAAACAGGAGCATCTTATGTGTCATATATAGATAAGGTAAGTGTACCAAGTATTGCAACAAATTTAATTTTTCAATCATAAATTAAAAATAGAAATAAAATAAATTCTTCATTAATTAAACCCACAGGAAGGTAAGATTATATACCAGGATGAGATATATTCTAGTTATTAATAACTTTCATAAGGGCATATAAGGGAACTAGATCCCAATTTATGAAATATCAAAAGTCAGTACCTTGAATCATACTAAGAAGTATGGTTTAGTAGATGTTGAAGAGATTCTACTGATTTATTCTGCAAATAATGTGTTCATCTTTTCCTACTTATCTCTAATAATCAATGAAACAAGAAAAAGCATTGAAGTCTCCAGTACTTATTTTTAATAACAAATAGTCAAATTTACTTTGAACTCTGCCTTTGATAGACAAAACACATCACAGAGTAAAGCAGGTGGAAATTGTTTGTACTAAAATATTCCTTGTAGAAATATCTGGCTACTAATAACCTAGTGAAAGGTACCAAAACAAGCACACATAGATATGTGACTCTAACAGGGAAATTTACAAGCAAGGACTCTAAAAGAGTAGAGAAAGAAACAAAAAGAGATAGGAAAAAGGGAGGAAAGACAAACTAGAGAAAATACGAGAAAAGAGAGAAAGAGGGGGAAGGGAAAAAATCAAACAGAAGGGGATGAGAGGGAGGGATATCAGGAAAAACAGAAAATTAGCTTAAGATAGAAAAATAAAAATAGTGAAAAAATGATTAAGGTGGAAAAGTGGCTAAAAGCCAAAAGAGGATAATACAACTTACAAGTTTCAAGATGAAGATTACCTAAAGGAAAACAGCCTAAGACTCTGCAGCTCTCTCAACATTAGGATACTGTAACTAAATGAAATAGTCCTGAACATCGGGACAAAGAAATAAGAAAAAGATCTTGTGGCCCATAGGTGAAGTGATTATATCTTCTACGGTTTCTAAAAATCAGATTTATTGAAAATGAATAGAATTCTTCAGAACCACCAGGAACAAGTAAATATCTTTCTATTCCTTCAAATTGTGTTTTATGACAAGTGGGAAAATTAGTCCTAAGGCAAATACCACACCAATGATAGAATTCAAAAATAGATGGCTCATTAAACACAAGCTCATATATTTAACTGAAGGACTGGCTGAAGATTCAACTAAAGGAAAAGTAGACAGCTGGTACAATATGGCATAAGAATTTCTCAGATAATCTAACCTTACCAAAGTAGTCCGAAATCTTGTCTTTGCTCTAAGATAATAATAAGTTCAGAAAGAATAACTGAGAAACCAAAGTAGATAGCCATATGTTTTGGTACAACTAACTATTAATTAGTTGGAAAAAAAAGTATTACACTTACTCATACCACTGTTTATTGTGTTTTCGGTAAAGCAACGTATCCAAGGCAACAGCATTGACATCCAGAGCTCCTGGAGAAGGCCACTGGTTGGTGAGATGGGCAGTTAACTCTTGTCTCGATCTTAAATCATTATTCTTTAGCACAGTCCTGTGAATATTAAGATGGTGAGTGCTTTTGTCTTCACTGTTCTACAATGGCAGAGGAACCTAATGGTATCAATTTAGGCCCCCAAAATTTATCTTATAAAATTGGTTTGTTAATAGATTGTGAACAGAACTACAGCAAGGATGGTTGGGACAATGATTGTTCTTTCTCCTGCAATATGTGTTCTTCATTTTTTTTCCGCTGGTTACAACAAATCACTACTTGTGAAATTTAGACTTACTATCTTTTCACATTATTACTAAAGTACTAAAAGACCCAAGTAGCATTTTATATCTTAATTAAAAGGAAGTGATATCTTAAAGATACAGGTTATCAAGCCAATTAAAATATTTAATAAGTAAAGATTCCATGTGTATGATTTCCTAGCTTCAAAACTCAGACACAATCTATTAAAGTATTTTAATTCAAGTAAAGGAAAAGTGATTAAAATGAAAAAAAAACTGACTGCAAAAAAATATAAAATAAAAAAATCCATGAGATTCTCATAACTATTTTTTCTTTTCTTTTTAACACACTGTTGCTGGCTTGAATCCCATGACTGTTTTTGATGGAAGTGACTACTGATAAATCTTCATGAAAATGATTAAATCAATGACAACTACACTGAGCAGTATAAAACACTGTAAATGTTTTAACTACAGAATGAAGCCATTATAACAATCCATGGTTTTAATTTTTATAGAACTGTTACTTCCTAATATCAACTTAGAAAAGAATTTGCTTTCTGCCAAAATTTCAGACTTCAAAAACCAACTGATCATTGTCACAGGATTAATTCAACATTTAAGTTGATGGTTAAAAAAGAATTTAAAAGCAAAGGTCTTACTCTACCTATAAAAGGCCTTAAAGTACCATTTAGGTAACCTGCATCCTCCAACAGGAGTCCATGGCTTTAGTGTGCCAATGTTCTGAGCCATCAATTCAGAAGCAGAGAAGTAATATGTGCCTGCCACTAACTTCCACAGATAAAAGTCCTGTTGTGGGTAACAGAGAGGTGAGTCAGTGAGGTAAGGGCAGCACAATACTGCACTAAAGAAAATCAGCCTGCATGCCACCCCTGGCTGTTTACAATGATACTAATGGAGTAACTATATTTCATATGTCTCTAACAGGCTACAGATGGATATTTCTGATTTTATGGGGTATCTGTGTGCACTGAAAAATACTTGTTCCACTATGTCCACAAGGAAACATTATCTGATGTAAACACTAGATTCTGTCTCAGGATGGAATACTAAAATAGGCCAAAGTTAGTGAGAATGTATCCTAGTAAGATATGATTTTAGCCTAGTGGCCACAATTTCATTTCAGTGGAAAAGAAATTTTTAAAAGGACTTTTAAAGTACTTAAACATTTTTTCAAAAATGAAAACAGTAAAGCTTTACAAAGAGAGTGGCTGGGAAAATTTTAAGACTGACAGGAAAATCATGCAAAACAAAAATAGGAATTATTGGCCAGAGAATCTATTATGATAAACCACCATTATTTTGGATTCTCTTAGGTTTTTCTCTATCATATATTCCATTTCTTGAGGGAATCTAGTGAACATTACTGGAAAACTCAATTTCAATGTCATAATTGGCTTACAGGAAATATTCAGGCAGAATGTGAGAAAAGCAAAGGTGCATCTGTGAGGAAATGGCACTGGTAGAACACAGTTAATAATAGTAATTAACAACCTCCAATTTAGAATATATTCTTTCTGGAAAGTGAAAAGTTTTATACCTCATTAAATGGAAAAGAGAACTGAAGTTCCACAACAGTTTTTATATAACTATTGTCCACGGAGATTTTTGCCTAATGACAAATTAAGGTACTGTCTTTAGACCTTTGTCCTTAGAAATCCTAATGATGTTTTCTATGAGCAGCTGCCTGGTCCTCTGAAACAGGAGATAAAAGATCTCAGCTAATGGAATAGGTGTAGTTTTCCTCCCACACAGCATCTATTTCCCATCTTTTGTGAGGAATGTGGAGACAACAAATCCTGGCACTTGCTCTGCCACTATGAAGAGGAAAGGTTCCTGGAGAATCCTTGTGTAAGGCCTTTTCTTTCATCACTCAAGTACACTATGGGACAGGCAAGTGAATTAAGTTAAGTTGAGAACCTCATCCTTGTATTTTTGAATCTTGACTAGAGTCTGTTTAGAGTAATAAATAAACAGAGCAGTTTATTCACTTTAGTGGTGGGTCCCTGAACAGAATGTACCAGCAAAGAGACATTACTGCAGTTCCTGCTTCCAGCCCTCTGGGGTAGCTCAGTCTCCTTCTTTCTAAGCCTATTTATCCAGTCTTTCTATCCATTCTGTGAGCTGCTGATCTCTTTATAATGAATTCTATTTGTGCACAAGAATTGATTGTGGTTGTTTGCAACCAAAGAATCCTACCACTTACCCTAGAACAAGTGAAATATACCCAGTTAATATCAAAACCTACTCAAAGGTAATCCAATTAATGTTAATATGAAGAATAATGATATTTTTCTTAATTGGCCAAGCTTAAAAATGGTTTCAACTTAAGTTACTCAATAATTGCTATTATTTAATGGTATTAAATCAGTGATAAAGGTTAAAATATGTGACATTTGACTTTAATTAAAATGCTAACCAATGCTGAAATTAGTCTGCTATCTAAAAACTGAATTATTTTATATGTGATAGATTCTATTTATCACTTATCTATAAGTCAATTTCTCATTCCCTCATTAAGACAATGATTCTATAGAAGGTACACTGAAGGAAAACTGTTTAATTTATTATGAAAGTAGCAAGAGTAGAATTATCACAGCTAATTTTCAGAACTTCCCCGTGGTATCTACCTCTAAATTTCTAGATAGATAATTTCTCTTTAGATTCTCAATAGGAATTATTTAGGAATTTGGCTTCTCAAAATAACATAATTTAATTTTATTACTGCAATGACTCAAAACCATTAAAGAAAGGATCTCTTTATATGGATTTTAAGCTACATATAATCCAGTCAAGCCTAACTATGAGGCAGGTTCTGACACTTGTAAAGCTTAAATACAGCTACTGAGACAGCAAGTTGCAAGGCTACTCTATTAGGGAAAAATATTTAAAACTCAAGTTTACTTATACACTGAAAGTATCATCTCCTTGTGTTTGCTCTCCCAGCATTAACTATATCCCTATTATTATTCAAAAGATCCAAATTCCATCCATCTTCCAAGGTTCTTTTGGTTTTCTACCTCATTCGAAAAGATCTTCAGACTACTTCTGTTCACAATGATACAACTTGTATTGCTTTGTGGTGAGTCTCATACAGTTTAATAATCAATTATTTAAATATTTTAATGTTTTATGGATCTTCTACTTTGATTATAAGCTACTTGGGAACGGTAGCTTTGTTTCATATTTATTCACTGTAAATGGTTATCATAATATTGGACATATTGCTGAATCTCCTCAACATATAATTCACATGACCACTAAATGAAAACTTTTCCAGCTTGAGGCCTTATATGGATTCTTGCTGATTTCCCATATACCACCTCATAACAAAAAGTAAAGTTTTAAACTAAAAATTTAGATTAAATCTGCAAAATATTCACGGACAGCATTTTCATGACAATCGAAAAAAATATATTCACAACGAATATCAAGTAAATGTATTAGGTAGGCAGTGGAGGACACACTTAAAATACGTGAAGAAGCAATCATCTAAAAGTCTTTGTGATTGTTGTAGTTTTCATGAGAAACATCCTCATAGAAGAGGGAGTATAGAAAGTACAATTTAAATTCTCCTTCCTTATTATACTCTACCGCTTCTAATAGGCTTCTAGATCCTTGAGGAATCTCCTCTATCTTGCTTTTGCATAAAGATCTTTTACTCTGCAGATAAAAATCTGTCATTTGAAAGTAAAATTTTGTTTCTTATATGTAATTATGTTGACGTATGTGTCAGTTTATCAATTGGCTATTTCATGTGATCTATAAATATATCCTCAATTTTTTGACCTGAATGTGTATTTGATGGATATATGTAAATTCAAAATACTGTGGATTTATAAACCCAAAACTTCTCAACTGAAAAATGGAGTCTAGCTCTCCTGCAAAATTGTTAGAAACAAAACTATAGTTTTCAGTTAAGGTTCAAAGAGCTGTTTTATTTTTCAAAGGAAAAATAGTTCCACATCTTAAGCAAGTCCTTCTGGGAATGACAGAAAAAGTCAATAAATACAATTTATTCTGTGGAACCTAGCTAACCCCTGAAAAGTTCCTATATCTTCTAAATATATAATTCATAACTATGTATAAATATGTATTTTGCCACTGATGCTTTATTCTTTTTAGATTTATAATTTTTCTTATGTTTTTTAAACATTTTTATTTTATTTTATTCATTATTTATTTTGAGTAGGGTCTCAATCTGTCACCCAGGGTGAAGTGCAGTGATACGATCATGGCTCTCTGCAAACTCAAATTCCCAGGGTCAAGTGATCCTCCCACCTCCATCTCCCAATAGCTGGGACCACAGGTGTGCACCATCACTCTTTGCTGAGGCGGGGTCTCCCTATGTTGCCCAGGCTGGTCTCAAACTCCTGGGCTCAGGTGGAGCGCCTACCTAGGCCTCCTAAAGTGCTGGGATTACAGGCGTGAGCCACTATGCCTTGCCTTAATTTGTATTTTTAATTTTTGTGGGTACATAATAGGTGTGTATATTTATGAGTTACATGAGATATTTTGACAGAGGCATGTAATAATCATACCAGGGTAAATGGGGAATCCATCACCTCAAGCATTTAACCTTTGTGTTACAAACAATCTGATAATACTCTTTTGGTTATTTTTAAATGTATAATTAAATTACTTTTGACTATAGTCACTCTGTTGTGCTAGCAAACACTAGGTCTTATTCTTTCTAATTTTTTTTGTGTCCATTTACCCACTTTCCCTCCCTCATAAGACTCATATGATTATTTTTAATTTATCTTTTATTTTTTTTGAGACAGGGTTGCTCTGTCGCCCAGGCTGGAGTGCAGTAGCACAATCATGGCTCGTTGCAGCCTCAATCTCTGAGTCTCAAGTGATCCTTCCACCTCTCAGCCTCCCAGTAGCTGGGACTACAAGCATGCAACCACCATGACCAGCTAAGTTTTGCATCTTTTATAGAGACCCAGGTTTTGCCCTGTTGTCTAGGCTGGTCTCAAACTCCTGGGCTCAAGTGATCCGCCAACCTTGGCCTCCCAAAGTGCTGGGATTACAGGTGTGAGCCACTGCAGCCGGTCTATTAGTTTATCTTGACTAAGTACAGAGCAATACAATGCAATACAATATAATGCAATACAATAAGACTCTGGATTAATTATAAACACCAAGGACTTTTCACTATGGACGCTTTATATCGTTTCAGGAGGAAATTATTTTCTCATTGTTTTTGAAAAAAATTCAGCAAAAATGCAGTTATTTACTGTCTCTTTCAAAAACAGCTTTCTATATCTCACTTGTTCATTATGTAATTTGCTAAAATTCAATTTGTGAAGATTTATCACATGACTTTGAGCCATCAAGAAGGGTATATTTACCTCTCTCCTCTAATAATGAAGGGTGTTTTACAGAAATATTAATTTTTTTTGAAACAGTCTTGCTCTTTCGCCCAGGAGTGCAGTGGCACAATCTCAGTTCAGTGCAACCTCCGCCTCCTGGGTTCAAGCAATTCTCCTGCCTCAGCCTCCCAAGTAGCTGGGACTACAGGTATGTGCCACAACGCCCAGCTAATTTTTTTTTTCTTTTTGTATTTTTACTAGAGACAGGGTTTCACCATGTTGGCCAGGCTGGTCTCAAACTTCTGGTCTCAAGTGATCCACCCACCTCAGCCACCCAAAGTGTTGAGATTACAGTTGTGAGCCACCACGCCCAATCGGAATATTAATTTTTAAATAGAGGCTCATCCCAGGTAAAAAATGGAACAGTCCCAATAAAAGTTATTTCAGTTTTCCCAGAAAAACGATTTGCTTCAAATAGTACTTGACTTAAAATTTTACCTCACTGGTCTTCCTCACATGATGTTTTGCATCCATGTTTCTGTATGTGCTATTCTCTGTACCCAGAATACCCTTTCTTTCTTTCTATTCCTTGGTCACGTGGGGAACTCCTGAAAAACCCTGCTCAAATATCAACTTCTTAGTGATGGTTTCCCTGGATCATCATTACTGTGCTACCTCTATAATGTATATACAACTTGAGCATTCCTAATTTGAAAATCCAAAATGCTCCAGAATCCACAACTTTCTCAGAAGCAAAGTGACACCACAGTGAAAAATTCCACACCTGACCTCATGTGAAGTGTTGCAATTAAAACACACTCAAAATTTTGTATCATGCACAAAATTATAAAAAATATTGTATAAATTATCTTCAGACTTATGTGTATAAGGTGTACATAAAACATAAATGAATTTTGGCTGGGTACAGTGGCTCACACCTGTAATCTCAGAACTTTGGGAGGATCACTTGAGCCCAGAAGTTCAAGACCAGCCTGGACAACACAGTGAGAACCTATCTATACAAAAAAGTTTTAAAAATTAGCTGAGCAAGGTGGTACATGCTTGTAGTCCTAGCTACTTGAAAGGCTGAGGTGGTAGGATCACTTAAGCCTGGAGGTCAAGGCTGCAGTGAGCTGTGATTGTGCCACTGCACTCCAGCCTGGATGACAGAGGCCCTGTCTCAAAAAAAAAAAAAAAAGAAAAGAAAAGATGAGTGGAGAAATGAGGATGTTTCTACACTGTTGGTGGGAATGTAAATTAGTACATTCATTATGGAAAACTGCATGGTGGTTCCTCAAAAAACTGAAAATAGAATTACCATATGATCCAGCCATCCCACTTCTGGGTACCTGAATGATTTGAAATCAGTATGTTGAAGAGATTCTGCACAATTATGTCCACTGTAGCACTATTCACAACAGCCAAGTTATGGAATAAACATAAGTGCCCATCAGTAGTGAGTGAACAAAGAAAATGTGGTACGAGGTCTTCTAAAAGATCTAGAAATCCATATTCTAGACTTTGATAGTAATACTTCGCCAATTCAAAGTTATTCTCTTGTTCATTTATTTGATTCTTTTTCTTGTGGCTCCAGGCTTGAAGGTTATCCTCTCCCCTCTACTTTGCTTCTTCCTCACCCCAGATGCTGTGCCAATGCTCATGATGTGGTTATACTTTCAGCTGTTGGACATTTATAAGGATCTAACCCCTGAAATCTAAGGATGTAACATCTGTGGTTCCAAATATTCCAATGCAACTCCAAAGGTCCATGACTTGAAGTAATTTTTAATTTTGATAAGATAATATATTTAAAGCCCTTGGGCTATGAGGAAAGTTTTGAAAGTGTGAGTGAGCAATTCTGATGCTAGAAAAATTACTAGCATCAGCAATATAGCAAATTGTTGTAATTTTCCACTTACCACTTACTGTCTGATTTGAGTGATTCTTTTTTTTTTTTTTTTTTTTTGAGACGGAGTCTCGCTCTGTCACCCAGGCTGGAGTGCAGTGGCACGATCTTGGCTCACTGCAACCTCCGCCTTCCAGGTTCAAGTGATCTCTTGCCTCAGCCTCCTGAGTAGCTGGGACTACAGGCACACGCCACCATGCCCAGCTAATTTTTGTACTTTTAGTAGAGACGGGCTTTCAACATGTTGGCCAGGATGGTCTTGATCTCTTGACCTCGTGATCCACCCACCTCAGCCTCCCAAAGTGCTGCGATTACAGGCATGAACCACCGCGCCTGGCCTTGTGTAATTCTTAAGATGTACTCCAGTATTGGTTGTGAGTACTTAAATGTGCTCCAGTACTATTTGTGACACGGCACACTGAGAAAATCATAGGCTATCAATCTTCATGAAAATAACTATAGTAATATAGAATTTTATGTTAATGGAAAGAATACCTAGGTAGCAATTACTGAAGGTCAAAGAAAGGGAAAGTCACCAAAGATAAAGGTGTTACATATACTCTAACCCCTGACTCCCTTAGGAAAAGCAGGAAAACAGAACTGCCTACCTCCAGCTTCTCTTTACTACTTTGGAAGAGGTATCTGACAGATGCTATCTGTTTATTGTTGGTCCTTGCCCTCTACTCAACATAAACTCTATAAGGGTAGGAACTATATGTTTAATTCATTCTTGAATCACCAGCGCCTAGAACTGGGCCTGACTCACCATACTTTCTCAATAAATATCTGTTAATAAAACAATATCAGAGAAGTTACAAAAGCAATTTAATACCAAGAGGAGTAATGAGAATTTCTTCTTCTTTATTCATTTAAAGCTTCCTGGAATTGGAAAACATGTATATGGCTTGTGAATATCCTAACTTCTTCATAATTAATATTACAATGTTCTTCATTCGTGTTATTTTCTTTTTTAACTTTAGACATAGTCATGGGATAAAGATTTACTTTATATAACTTTACAATTATTTCCCTTTAAAGAAAACATACTGAAAGAAGCAACCTTAAAAGGAGACAGATGTCCAAAAATTATGCTATTTACCTATTTACCAATGAAATATTCTTGCCCAAAAAGTTAAACCTAAATCTAAACAAGTCTCTGAAAGTGGCAATGGTTTTCAACCCTGGCTGCACTTTAGAACTTGACACTATCCTTTAAGAAGAAAGAGACATTAATGAGTAATTTAGAACTTAAAAAAAATCAAGTGACTCATTATTTGCCCCATTTTAAAATGTAAAATAAACCCTGGCTCCTTAGAGGAGTGAATGATGCAGGTGTGGGGCACTAAATATACAAGATGAGCTTGAGATATCTTGTGCTAGAAAGTAAGAGTTATCAAAAACAAATGGTTCATATTAGAAGGACACAAGATTCAACATGAAGGAGCCTCAGTTAGACAAAAATGGGGCAATTTGAGCATCAAAAATAAAAAGAAATGTAAGTGATAGAAGCACAATAAAAACATTTCTACTATAATGCAGGAACAAACAAAACAAACAAGAAGTGTTTTGTAATATCATACAGAAAATGGGTGACCTATGGGGAGGTCAGGATCAGAAGATGACAATTCAAAACCTAATCATCTTTCTAACTAGAACACAGAGGAAAACAATAACAATCCTAATAAAATTACAAACTCAATTTAAAAGGTTTGTTAAATTCCTATATAGAAAAGAAATATTGCAATAAATCTGGATTTTAACAACAACAAACTGAAAGCCTTTGACAGAAGAGTAAGGAAGGGTTGAGGATGCTGGGGTTGAGGCTTGCCATGAAGGCAAGGGAAAAATGCACAAAGATGGAGTAAATAGAGAGCAAGCACCTCCAACTCTTAGTTAAATGAAACCAGTGGAATGCAAGGTGATAATGTACAATGAGAGAATGCCATCTGTTGGTGGCTTGTAGTATTTGACTGTATTCGTGTATTTTGATTCAGCTGCTGTCACTTGTTGAGACACATTAACCTATGAATCAAGGGATTTCCTTGCTACATTGACATCATCCCTTTATTTATAAATCTTATGTAAGTTAATTCGCATCGCAAAAGAATTCTAACTGTAACGAGTTCAAAATAATAAAAGGAGGAAAAATAAGAAACAAAAATCATCATGTCATTAGAAACTATTAAAAAGAGGTAGGACATCAGTGTCTTACTCTAAAACTTAACAATATTCCATAAGAACTGAATTTCAGGGCAACCACCAAAAAACCCTAACTGACGAGGGAAAGTTCTTCTTTATAGTTAATTCCAGACAATAAGTATGAAATGACTAACAGCTGGGAAATCACCCATTACAAACCCTAATTAATCAACTGCTTTAGGCAATGCTCACCCAATTAAGCCATTAAGTGAAAGGCTGACAGGAACTTTTCCATAGGAGAAACTAGGCTGCCACCACCTGAATCCACTGCCTGATCTTATAATCACTAAAAGTGGGACAACCAGTGTGCTTCAAATATGATACAATGTGAAGTCCACAGCATCATCTATAAAATACTCCTGCTAAAAAAATTTAAACTTAAATTTAACCCAGCCCCATAGAGCAGCAGTTCTCAGCCCTGACTGCCCATCAGAAACACCCAGAAACCCATCAGAAACGACTTTAAAAGTTTAATTTTCTAGTACCCACATTAAAGAGAAACAGAAATTTTAATAATGTACTTATTTAACCAAATCTATTCAGGATATTATTTTATGATGCAGTCTATATATAAAGTTATTCATATTTTATATTCTTTAAACTCTGCTCCTTTACAGCTATGTCCCCAAACTTTTCCGTTACTGTCACAAAATTACATCTTTATACACTTTGTGCCCCCAAACATAAACTAATATTACTTTTAAACACATTAGTCCCATAAATTATGTAGAAAACAAAATGTGGTTACAAACCAAATTAGCTTTTAGACTAATAATTGTTTTCATTAAATGTATTAGTCTCTTAAGAGAAAACAAAAGTTGAGTTACGAACCATTGTCACAATACTACAAGATTTTATAATTATCCATGGTATATCCTTACTGATACATTTATTTCTTCATACAGCTTTAAATTACTGTCTGGTGTTCTTTAATTTTACCTTGCAGGACTCCCTCTTGCAAGGCAGGTCTAGTAGTAATGAATGTCTTCAGCTTATATTTATCCGGGAACACCTTAACGTCTCTCTTATTTTTGAAGGGCAGTTTTGCTGGCTATATGAAACATGGTTGACAGTTTTTTTCTTTTAGCACATTGAAAAATTTGCCCACTGCCTTCTGGCCTCCAGAATTTCTTTCTTTTTAAAGTTTTTGTTGGTACAGAGTAGATGTTATGTTTTTATGTCGTACATGAGACATTTTGATACAAGCACACATTGTGTAATAATCACATCATGAAGAGTAGGGCCATCCCCTTAAACTTTTATCCTTTATGTTACCAGCAATCCGATTTTACTTTTAGTTATTTTTAAATATAAAATAAGATTATTATTGACTATAATCTGTTGTACTATCAAATACTAGGTCTTATTCATTCTAATTATTTTTATTGTACCCATTAACCATCCCTACTTCCATCCCCAACCCCCCTCACTACTCTTCCCAGGCTCTGATAAACATCTTCCTACTCCCTATGTCCATTAGTTCAATTGTTTTGATTTTTATATACCAAAAATATGTGATAACATGGAATATTTTTCTTTCTCTTCCTGGCTTATTTCACTTAACACAGTGACCTCCAATTCCACCCAAGTTGTTGCAAATAACAGGATCTCATTCTTCTTTATGGCTGAATAGTACTCCATTATGTATAAGTACCACATTTTCTTTATCCATTCATCTGTGTATGGGCACTTAGGTTGCTTCCAAATCTTGGCTATTGTAAATTATGATGCAAAAACTTGGGAGTGTAGATATTTCTTCAATATACTGATTGCCTTTCTTTTGGGTATATACCAAGGGGTGGGATTGCTGGATCATATGGGGTAACATTATTTATTTTTATTTATTTAGTGTTTTGTAGACAAAGTCTCACTCTTGACGCTCAGGCTGGAGTGCAGTGGCATGATCTTGGCTCACTGCAACCTCTACCTCCCAAGTTCAAGCAATTCTCCCTACCTCAGCCTCCCGAGTAGCTGGGACTACAGGCGTCCGCCACCATGCCTGGCTATTTTTTTTTTTTTTTTTGTATTTTTAGTAGAGACGGGGTTTCCCCGTGTTGGCCAGGCTGGTCTCAAACTCCTGACCTCAGGTGATCCACTTGCCTTGGACTCCTAAAGTGTTGGGATTACAGGCTTGAGCCACCATGCCCAGCCATTATTTTTAATTTCTTGAGGAACCTCCAAACTGTTCTTCATAGTGGTTGTACTAATTTACATTCCCACCAACAGTGTACAAGGGTTTAGTTTACTCCACATCTTTGCCAGCATTTGTTATTGCCTATCTTTTGGATAGAAGCCATTTTAACTGGGGTGAGATGATATCTCATTGTAATTTTGATCTGCATTTCTCTGATGATCAGTGATGTTGAGCACCTTTTCATATGCCTGTTTGCCATTTGTTTGTCTTCTTTTGAGAAATATCAATTCAAATCTTTTGCCCACTTTTTAATCAGATAATTTGATTTTTTTCCTATTGAGTTGTTTGAATTCCTTATATTCTGATTATTAATCCTTTGTCAGATGGATAGTTTGCAAATATTTTCTCCCACTATGTGGGGTTGTGTCTTTACTTTGTTGATTGTTTTCTTTGCTATGCAGAGGCTTTTTAACTTGATGTGATCTCATTTGTCCATTTTTGCTTTGGTTGCCTATGCTTGTGGGACACTATTATTCAAGAAGTTTTTGCCCAGACCAATGTCCTAGAAAGTGTCTTCAAAGTTTTCCTGTAGTAGCTTCATAGTTTGAGGTCTTAGTTATTTAAGTCTTTGACTGATTTTGATTTGATTTTTGTATATGGTGAGAGATACAGGTCTAGTTTCATTCTTCAGTATACGGATATCTGGTTTATTTATAGAAAACACTGTCTTTTTCCCCAGTGTATTTATTTGGCAACTTTGTCAAAAATAGATCACTGTAGGTATGTGGATTTGTTTCTTGGTTGTCTATTATATTCCACTGGTCTACACTTTTTTAATGTCAATACCATGCTTTTTTGGTTATGATAGCTCTGTAGTATAATCTGGTCAGGTAATGTGATTCTTTCAGTGTTCTTTTTGTTCAAGATAGCTTTAGCTATTCTGGGTTTTTTGTGGTTCCATAAAAATGTTAGGTTTTTTTTTTTTTTGTTTCTATAAAGACTCTCATTGGTATTTTGACAGGAATTGCATTGAATCTGTAGATTTCTTTGGGTACAATGGACATTTTAATAATATTGATTATCCTAATCCATGAACATGGAATATCTTTCTATTTTTTGGTGTCCTCTTCAATTTCTTTCATTAGTGTTTTACAGGTTTTTTTGTTCTGTTTTGTTTTTTAGACAGAGTCTGGCTCTGTCATCAGGCTGGAGTGCAGTGGCATGATCTCAGCTCACTGAAACCTCCGCCTCCTGGGTTCAAGCAATTCTCCTGCTTCAGCCTCCTGAATAGCTAGGACTACAGGCATGTGCCACCACACCCAGCTAATTTTTGTATTTTTAGTAGAGATGGGGTTTTACCATGTTGGCCAGGATGATCTTGATCTCTTGACCTTGTGATCCGCCCACCTCGGCCTCCCAAAGTGCTGGGATTACAGGCGTGAGCCACTGCGTCTGGCCTGTTTTACAGTTTTTATTGTAGAGAACTTTCACTTCCTTGAGTAATTCCTAGGTATTTAATTTATGGCTATTGTAAATGGGATTACATTTCTTTATTTCATTTTTAGATAATTCATTGTTGGCATATAGAAATGCTCCTAATTTTTGTATGTTGATTTTGTATCCTGCAACTTTACTGAATTTGTTTATCAGTTTTAATAGTTTTTTGGTGGAGTCTTTAGTTTTTCCAAATATAAGATCATATCATCTGCAAACAAGGATAATTGGACCTTTTTCTTTCCAACTTGGATGACCTTTGTTTCTTTCCCTTCTCTGATTGCTCTAGCTAGGACTTCCAGTACTATTACTGAATGACAGCAGTGGAAGTAAATATTCATGTGTGCTCCAGATCTTACAGGAAAGGTTTTCACTTTTTCCCCATTCAGTATACTAGCTGTGGATATGTTGTATATAGCTTTTATTATTTTGAGGTATGTTCCTTCTCAAAAAAAACTCAGTTTTTTGAGTGTTTTTTTAAATCATGAAGGAATGTTGAATGTTATCAAATGCTTTTTCAGCAATGATTGAAATGATCATATGGTTTTTAATCCTTCATTCTGTTGATATGATGTATCACACTGATTGCTTTGCATATGTTGAACCATCCTTATATCCCTGAGATAAATCCCACTTGGTCATGATGAATGATATTTTTAGTGTATTGTTGAATTTGGTTTGCTAGTATACTTTTGAGGATTTCTGCATCAATGTTCTTCAGAGACATTGGCCTGTAGTTTTCTTTTTTTGATATATCTTTGTCTGGTTCTGGTATCACAGAATGAATTTGGAAGTATTCATTCCTCCTCTATATTTTTAGTTGAGTAGGATTGGTATTACTTCTTCTTTAAATGTTTGGTGGAATTTAGCAGTGAAGCCATTGGGTCCTTGGGTTTTCCTTACTATGATGCTTTTTATTATGGTTTAAATCTCATTACTAGTTATTGATCTGTTCAGGTTTTGGATTTCTTCATGGTTCAATAATGGTAGGTTGTAAGTGACTAGGAATTTATCCATTTCCTCTAGATTTTCCAATTTATTGACGTAGAGTTGTTAATAGTAGCCACTAATGATCCTTTGAATTTCTGCAGAATCAGTTGTAATGTCTTCTCTTTTTAATCTCTGATTTTATTTATTTGGGTCTTCTCCCTTTTTTCTTCATTAGTCCGGCAAGGGTTTGTCCATTTTGTTTATCTTTTCAAAACAACTTTTTCTTTCATCAGTCTTTTGTATAGTTTTCATTTCATTTCAATTTCATTTATTCTGCACTTTATTATTTCTTTTCTTCCATCAATTTTGGCTTGCTTTTGCCTTTCTAGTTCTTTAAGATGCATCATTAGGTTATTTATTTGAAGTTTTTCTTCTTTTTTGATATAGGAACTTATAGGTATGAAGTTCCCTCGTAGGACTGCTTTCAGTGTATCCCATAGGTTTTGATATGTTCTGCTTCCATTAACATTTGTTTCAATAAACTTTTTCATTTCCTTCTTAATTACTTCCTGACCCACTGGTCATTCAGGAGTATATCAATTTCCATGTGTTTGTACAGTTTGCAAAAATTTCTCATTATTGATTTCTAGTTATATTCCATTGTGGTTAGAGAAGATGCTTGATATTATTTCAATTTTTTTGAATGTTTTAAGACTTGTTTTGTGACTTAACATAGGGTGTATCCTTGAGAATCATCCATGTGCTAAGGAAAAGAACATGTATTCTCTAGCCATTGGATGAAATGTTCTGTAAATATCTATGAGATCCATTTGGTCTATAGTGCAGATTACATCCAATGTTTCTTTGTTGATTTTGTATCTGAAAGATCTGTCCAATGCTGAAGGTGGGGTGTTAAAGTCTCCAGCTATTATTGTATTCAGATCTATCTCTCTGTTTAGCTCTAATAATATTTGCTTTACATATCTGAGTGCTCCAGTGTTGGCTGCATGTATATTTACAAATATTATAGCCCCCTACTGAATTGGTCCCTTTATCATTAAGGACTTTCTTTCTCTCTTCTTATAGTTTGGATTGGAGTCTATTTTGTCTGATATAAGTATAGCTACTCCTGATCTTTTTTCAGTTTCCATTTGCTTGGACTATCTCTTTCCATCCCTTAATTTTCATTCTGTGTGTATCTTTATAGGTAAAGTGTGTTTCTTATAGATAACAGATCTTTGGGTCTTGCTTTTTCATCCATTAAGTGACTCTATGTCTTTTCGTTGGAGAGTTTAGTCTCTTTACATTCAATGTTGTTATCTATAAGAAGGGGATTACTCCTATCATTTTGTTGTTTTCTGGTTGCTTTGTGGTCTTTTCTTTCTTCTTTCCATCATTCCTGTATTCCTTTTTGTGAAAGTGATTTTCTCTGGTGTTATGGTTTGATTTCTTGCATTTTATTTTTTGTGTATCTGTTTTATGTTTTTCAATTTGTAGTTACCATCAGGCTTCCAAATTCTGTCTTATAACCCATTATTTTAAACTGATGACATTCATTACATAAACACACACACACACAAGCAAAAACTAATAAACACTCTACACTTTAACTTTATCCCCCTGCTTTTTACATTTTTGTTTCTCTTTATGTCTTACTGTACTATGTCTTGAAAAATTCTTGTAGTTATTTTTTATTGGTTCATCATTTAGTCTTTTTACTTAAGAGTGGTTTGCATACCACAGTTATAGTACTATAATAGTCTGTTTTTCTGTGGCTATTACCAGTGAGTTTTATACCTTCTGATAATTTCTTCTTACTCATTAACATCCTTTTCATGAAGATTGAAGATCTCCCTCCAGCATTTGTGGTAGGACAGGTCTGATGTTGATGAAATCCCTCAGCTTTTGTGTGTCTGGGAAAGTCTATTTCTCCTTCATGTTTGAAGGATATTTTCATTGGATATACTATTTAAGGATAATTTTTTTTCTTTCAGTACTTTAAATATGTGATGCCACTCTCTTCGGACCTGTAAGATTTCCACTGAGAAGTCTGCTGCCAGACATATTGGAGCTCTTTGGATGTTATTTGTTCCTTTTCTCTTGCTGCTTTTAGGACCCTTTCTTTATCCTTGACCTCTGCAAGTTTATTAAATGCTTCAAGGTAGTCTTCTTTGGGTTAAATCTGCCTGGTGTTCTATAACCTTCCTGTATTTGAATACTGATATTTTTCTCCAGGTTTGGGATGTTCTCTGTTATTATCCCTTTAAATAAACTTTCTAACCCAATCTCTCTGTCTACCTCCTCTTCAAGGTGAATGACTTAGATTTGCTCTTTTGAGGCTATTTGCTAAATCTTGCAGGTGTGCTTTATTCTTTTTCTATTTTTTTTGTCTCCTCTGACTCTGAATTTTCAAATAGCCTGTCTTTGAGTTCACTAATTCTTTCTTCTGCTTGATCAATTCTGCTATTAAGGGACTCTGATGCATTCTTCAGTATATCAATTGCATTTTTCAGCTGTGGAATTTCTGTTTGACTCTTTTTAATTATTTCAATCTCTTTGTTAAATTTATGATAGAATTCCAAATTACTTACCTGTATTATTTTAATTTCTTTTAGTTTCCTCAAAACAGCTATTTTGAATTCTCTCTCTAAGTTCACATATCCCTATTTCTCCAGGACTCCAAGTTGATTTATTTAGGTCATTTGGTGAAGCCATGTTTTCCTGGATGGTCTGATGTTTGTAGACATTTGTCAGTCTTGGGGCATTGAAGAGTTAACTATTTATTGTAGTCTTTGCAGTCTGGACATGTTTGTGCCCATTCTTTTTGAGAAGGCTTTCCAGGTAGTCAATGGGAGTTGGCCCCAAGCCCAATAACACTGTGGTTTTTGCAGACTCGTAGAGGTACTGCCTTAGTGGTCTTGGATAAGATCTGGAAGAATTCTCTGGATTACCAGGAAAAGACTATTGTCCTTTTCCCTTACTTTCTCCCAAACAAACAGGGTGTCTCTCTGTGTTCAGCCACCTGGAACTGGGGGTGTGGTGATGTAAGCCCTCCTATGGCCACCATCACTGGGACTGCACTAGGTCATACCTGAAGCTAGGACAGCACTGGGTCTCACCCAAGCACTGCTGCAACCACTACCAGACTACCACCTATGTTCACTCAAGGCCCTAGGGTTCCAGGATCAGCAGATAGTGAAGCCAGCCAGGCTTGTGTCCTTCCCTTCAGGGCAGTGAGTTGCCCAGGCCCTGGGTGGGTCCAGAGATGCTGTCTAGGGGCCAAGGGTGGCAGTCAAAAACTTTAATAATTTACTTTATGTTCTGTTATACTGAGGGTAAGCTGGCACTCAAACCACAATACAAAGTCGTTCTTGCTCTTTCTTCAGGCAGAGGAAATACTATCAATATCAAATTACTACTCTTTCCTGTTGTAATATCTAATTTCCGATTAATACCCAAGGAAGTGCAATAGAACATGGTTTATCCTTCTGGGGCTTGGCATTTTTCTCTTCTGGATACATTTTCTTGATTTTTCATCCATATATGGGCAGTAGATTATATAATACATATTAACATGATTTTAATTTTAAATTTTAATTAGAATTATTACCTGCCAAAATGTATACATGACCAGATGAGTAGAAACTGTCATAATCTGTCCGTTATAATGTCATCATTGCACTCTTGTTAGGATTCATACCACTCATCTTAAACTTGTGCATCAGAATGGCATAGTATCACTGACTTATGGTTTGTAGGCTGATAGATCATGCCATCAGTACTCACTACGAACTACACTAAATTGGCTTTTCAACTGTAACAATGGCCTAGTTTTAACAATGAATTATTCTTTACTTATATTTCACTATGAGTGACACTTCAGTTTCTTTACTAGGAAACCATATAGGACAGGTTACTGTTGCCATAATCTTTCAAACCATAAAGAGAAAAAACATTCATCAGCTAACTAGGAAAACAAAATAGAAAACAATTATTGGTGTTAAATATGACAAATGTGTTCAAGCTTTGCAAGCTGTTCCGTGGCTATTTATTCCTGAGGTTGGAATGCATGTTTTACAAAGAATCATTTGTACAATAGATCATCTATCTGACAGTCTGTACCTCTAGATGTTGACAAAACCCCTCTCTTATATATGGCACCCTTCAAGTAACAATGTGATTGATGTTAAATCTAACTACTTCAGGAGATTTTGAATCCCATGTAAAAAGAGAACATGCCTTATTATTGTCGATATTCTCAACTACTTGGGCAATCTCAGGTACAAAGTATACATTTAAATATATGTTTACTGAAAAATACTAAATTCAAAACTGAAGTTTTTCCACCAATTAGCATAAATAATTATGACAATAAGTTTTGAAAAGGCACATGTATACATATGTAACTAACCTGCACAATGTGCACATGTACCCTACTAAAACCTAAAGTATAATAAAAAAAGAAAAGAAAAAAAAAAAAAAAAAGTTTTGAAAAGGCCATAAACAAATACATTTTTTAATCTTTTAACAAACTTTCCATATACTGATCCAAAGTACAATTGGTACTTTAAGCTTGTTTATATTTCTTTTATTGAATAAAATTTAATATATAAATAAGAGTTAAAACAGTTACTGGAGCCAACTAAAGTCAAGCTGTACACAGATTTCCATAAAACCATAAGAACCAAAACCTAGAATAATCCTGTGTCTCCCAATGAAATTATACTATTATTACTAATCATAATAGTAGAAGATTGAAATGATTCAATACTTAAATATTCTAACCACCAAAATCTTTTTCTCTTTGTTTTGGACACAGTGTCTCACTCTGTTTCCCAGACTGGAATGCACTTATGCCATCATAGTTCCTCCCAAAAAACTAGGACTACAGGCACACAGCACCACACCCAACTAATTTTTCGTATTTTGTAGAGATGGGGGTCTTGCTGTGTTTTCCAGGCTGGTCTTGAACTGCAGGCCTCAAGTGATTCTCTCGCCTTGGCCTCTCAAAGCTCTGGGATTACTGGCATGAGCCACTGTGCTTGGCCCACCATAATCTTAATCATTCAAATATACCTTTGTCAATGCCTTTTAAAATACTTTAAATTAGTATTGCATCAAACATATGACTGACAAAAAGAATTACAGTTACAAGTGATACCTGTTAAGCAAACACATATGTCTTACAGGCATGGTACATACAAATACTATTATTTAAAAGATTAATCCCATTGCCGTTTGGAAATCAGAACTCAAAAGTGAGTTTCTTGGAACTTGGGGATAATATGATAGAGTCAAAACTCATTGTTTGATCCGTAGCATTTTGACAAAAGATTTTAATTTTCTACTTATCTCCCTGAGTGAATTTATAAAGGAGATTTTAAGGTTCCCATATATAAAAGCAGAGGAATAAACCTTTGAATGCCTTCTTTTTTATATACTTAACACCATTAATACTCATAATGGTTCACAAAGTGAGTATGTTATCTCTGTTATATAGATGAAGAAACATTAAGACCTCACAACTGGAAAGTGTAGAGCACAGTCCTGATTTTCAAGACAGCTTTAGAATGCTCCTGTAATACTCCACACTAACTTGTACTCTGTTGCCCAAACTACAAAATGTATATATTTTATGAGTATTCAACGACATAATCAAAAAGCGTTTTAATAGTAATTCAAAATACATCTAATCATCAAGAAATACATAAAACTAAGTGACTCAGGATTTAAATTGCCCAGGAAAAAAAATCAACACAATGTAGAAGCAAATATTACATGCCTCATATTCTACCTATCAGTATTCCTTCTCTGGCCTTTTCCTTTACAATTTTAATTTTCTGAGGGCTACTTTTATCTTCTCAGGAGTAACAAAGGAAATTTCAATGCCCAACTTTGATTATAGGCCTTCTTGACAGTTGATTTTTTAAAAATCTCAGCAAGATAAGGATAAAACATATTCACTCTTTCACTATAGCTGCAAAAATATCCACACTGTTCTGCATTTCTTAAAGCTGATTCTGATAAAGTAGTGAATTGTGAACATTCACAAAGAAATGTATCTTATGCTCCTGTTCAGTATCCTTGAAAGTGGTTTTTGTATGAAAGAATCTTAGAAGACACCAATTTATGCCTTATGCCTATCTAAAAATTGAAGCCATACTATATGAAAGTAAATCTTTAACCTCTCAACTCAAGAAAATAGTCTAATTCTGATCAGTGGCCATAATTATTTTGTTGCTCCAGTAATATTTAATTAAAATTAAAGGTATTAAATTAAGGTTATTAAAGACAACTGAAAGCTTCCTTTGCAAAAATCAAGAGGATCAATGGCACTCCTACATCCAGAAATACGACAGAATCATAACTCAGGTAGATTAATTTCTCAAACTTGAAAGTTTGAAAGTCTTTGTTTCCTTTCAATTATCCAAAGTAAGATAAATGTGATCCATTTAAATTTAATTCTTAAAATGAAAACATCTCTTTTGAAAAAATAAAGTGATTTCATAATTATTTTATGTTAAAAGCATTTAAACTACCAGTATTGTTTGTAAAAGAAAAATGAAATTATCTTCTTAATATTTTAATTGTAAAATTATAATTTTATATAACCAGAAATCTGGTTTTTAATAACCAGAAATCTCTACTGTTTGGCTCTTGATATTTTTCTCCCTGCTAATGGAAGCAAGGGGTTAAGAAAGGTGTTAATCTCTTCCCTACCCAGTGATGCCTCATAGGACAAACTCTCTTTAAAATACCATTAAAAAAAAAGAAGAAAAAATATGTAAACATAATTCTTTTCATCAAAATACAAATTCCTAAAAAATATTAAAATTTTTTGTTCCTTAATAAAACTTTCTAACTTTAAAAATCATCTTTTATGATGATTTTTAGTCTATGATACTTAGTCTCAAAGTATCTCATTACAAAATAACACTGGAAGGAGGAAGTGGAGCTGGGCTGCTACTGGGACAGTGTCTGCAGAGTCCAATTCTAGGAACGTTTTTAGGAGGCAGGGGACAAGATGGCCAATTAGATATAGCCAGGAAACACATCTCCCTTCAAGAGAAACCAAAATATCAAGTAAACCATCACATTTCAAACAGATTGTTTGAGAGAAAACACTGAAAGTTGAGAGAGAGGTGATGCAGACACCAAGGTTGAAAAGGAAGTTGGAAAGCCTGCATAGAATCTCTTAGCACAAGGACCAGCTCTCGGTCCTGAACAGAGCCAAAGCAAGGGGGGAGTGAAGGAACTACAGAACACCACACCTCGGGGATCCTAACTATAAAAGATCCCACAACCCACACAGACATTTGAGTTGGCAAAGGAATTGCCCACAGAGTATGCAGAGGCAGAGCTCAAACCTGTGCAGAGCTCAGAAGGGTTCATGGAACATGAGACAGCTACAGCAAAAGGCAACCATAGGTTCCCATCCCCTAAGTCTCTCCATCTTGCTCTGAGTGACTGGAGCCCCTACTGACTGCAGAGCCAGGAGAAAGTAGTGCTCCCTTTCTCATGGGATTGGGCAAGGCTGATCCACATGCCCCCTTGTCTTCCAGCTCCTCTCAAAGCCACCTGCCTCGCCATTCCTGTAAGAGGGTGCACAGAGCACAGCCTGCACTGCCCCGCCTGAGTGTTTTGCCAGTGACCTGGGAGCAGTTTAGCTTCCCCAGCACAGCTGGTGTTCAACCCTATGGGGCCAGAGGACAAAGCTGCAGGCCCAGTCCCAACCTCCCAGGGTTGGAGTACACTGTCCAGGGTTCCAGAACTGGGATCTGTGGTTACAGCTCTAGTGAGGAGGGAGCCCCCACTCAGAACACAAACAGGGAGGCGTGAGTTCATGTGCTGCCAAGGGAGCTGGGCATCCTTCCTTCCACAAGACCAGCCTGGGAAGGGTTCAGTCTGTTGACCAGTCGTACCTTCTGCTTGAGGGAGCCCCATGGCCTGGAACACTTGGGACAGCCCCGCAATTTCAGCACAGAAAGCTTGGAACAAATCTAGCTGGTTAGGTCTGTTCCTGGGGCAGACACTGGAGGGAGATCTGTTTGGGGGATCCCACAGCCATTTGCCAGGCTAAAAACCCTGGGCTGCAGGCACCACACGAGCTATAAATCCGTGGCACCAACACACTGCCTGGGGATCCTATGCCCTTGACCCAGTTAATCACCAGAACACCAAAGACATATCCCACAACCTACTCTGACTCTGCCAAGCTCAGAGGACCAGTGGGTCCCCAGGAAGTTGTGAGTCTCTGGTGATCTAAGCTTCAGCTTGAGAGGTCCCTAAAGGAGGGGACCTTTTATGCAGCCAACCAGAGTCCCCCTTAGGGCTAAGGAAACATAGGCAGGACATCCATGATAGGAGGGGTTCCCCCAAAACCTAGGAACAGACTTAGTGAGGGGGTAATCTTCTACCCCCCAACAACATCTCCCCCCTACCACATCTCCCCCAACCACATCTCCCCTCACCACATCTCCCCTACCACCACATCTCTCCCTCCCCCAAAGCACTATGAAGGCACTGAAATACAAAGGAGGCTTATAGCTGAGTAAGCATATCTGCCAGCCCTTACTCTTAAATGCCATCTAC
Organism: Homo sapiens; assembly: GCF_000001405.40. NCBI lineage: Eukaryota > Metazoa > Chordata > Mammalia > Primates > Hominidae > Homo > Homo sapiens. The sequence continues at coordinate 87,784,596 of NC_000007.14, read as the reverse complement.
TGCATCACAGCCTGAATTACACCACCAAACAAAAATAAATTCCTTTAGCACACAATGCCTGTGAAACCCAATGAGGAAACTAGCCCAAACTAAGGAACCCCTACAGAACCTTGGCCCTCTGAAAAGACACAAAAACAAAGCCAACCAACTATACACAACATACACAACAGTCAAACCCTCAAGGGATTAAAAAAACGAAAATGAAAACAAGCCCCATCCAAATGTGAGCAGTTTATAAAAGAAAAAGAAACACTAGCCCCCTCAGATGAGATAAAATTAGCACAAGAACTCTAGCAATTCAAAAACTCAGAGAATTTCCTTACCTCTAAAGGATCACACTAGCTCCCCAGCAATGAATCCTAACCAGAGTGAAATATCAGAAGTGACATACATAGAATTCAAAATCTAGATGGCAAGATTGAAAAGAAAGTTGAAATCCATTTCAAGGAAGCCAGTGAAATGATCTAAGAGTTGAATGACAACATAGTCATTTTAAGAAAGAACTAAAGTGAACTTCTGGAACTGAAAAATTTCCCTGATCTCACTAGATAGGTTGGCAAACAAATTCAAAAAAATTCAGAGAACCTCTATGAGATACTATACAAGATGACCACCCCCAAGACACAGAATCTTCAGACTTGCCAGGTCAACGTGAAAGAAAAAATCTCAAAGGTAGCTACAGAAAAGGGTCATATCACTTACAAAGGGGATCCTATCAGGCTAACAGTAGACTTCCCAACAGAAACTATACACACCAGAGAAGACTGGGAACATATTTTCAGCATTCTTAAAGAAAAGAAATACCAGTCAAGAATTTAATATCCCACCAAACCAAGCTTCATAAGAAAAGGAAATGTATAATATTTTCCAGACAAGCAATCACTGTGAAAATTCATTACCAATAGACCAGCCTTGCAAGAGATCCTTGAGGGAGTTGTAGACACAGAAATGAAATAACAATATGTACTACCACAAAAACACACTTAAATACATAGCCTGCAGACCCTATCGAGACTAAAAAATCAAGACTACAAAGCAACCAGCTAACAGCACCAGGATAGGATCAAAACATCACATAGCGATATTAACCATGAATGTAAACGGTCTAAATGCCCCACTTAAAAAACACAGAGAGGCAAGGTGGCTAATAGAACAAGACCCAACCACTTGCTATCTTCAAGAGAACCATCTCACACATAATGAAACCCACAGGCTCAAAGTAAAGACATGAAGAAAGATTTACCATGCAAACTAAAAACAAAAAAGAGCAGGGGGTCCTATTCTTATATCGGATAAAGCATACTTTAAAGAAACAACACTAAAAAAGGACAAAGAAGGTCATTACGGTCATTACATAATGATAAAGAGTTCAATACAACAAAAAGACTTAACTGTCATATACACACACACACACACATACACAAACACATGCACACACACATACACACACACACACTGACATTGGAGCACCCAGATTCATAAAGCAAGTACTTCTAGACCTACAAAAGACTTAACCACACAATAATAGTAGTGGACTTCAATACCCCATTAACGGCATTAGATGGATCATTAATGCAGAAAACTTAACAAATTCTGGATGTAAATTTGACTTGTCCAATTGGACCTAATAGACATCTAAAGAATACCCATCAACCACACAATATACTTTATTTTCATTGGCACACTGAACATATTCTAAGTTTGACCACATGCTTGGCCATAAAGCAAGTCCAAACAAATTTCTAAAAACCTGAAATCATACCAAGCATATATGTGGACCACAGTGGAAGAAAAATTGAAGTGAATAGCAAGAAAATCTCTCAAAATCACACAATCACATTGGCACCAAACAACTTACACCTGAATAACTTTTAAGTAAACAATGAAGTTAAGACAGAAATTTAAAAATTCTTTAAAATAAATGAAAAAGAGATACAACATACCAAAATCTCTGGGATGCAGCAAAAATAGTGTTAAAAGTTTTTATCACTAAATGTTTACATCAAGAAGTTAGAAAGATCTTAAATCAACACTCTGACGTCGCACCTAGAGGAACTAAAATAACAAAAATAAATTAACCCCAGAGCTAGAAGAAGAAAAGAAATAACTGAAATCAGAGCAGAACTGAACAAAACTGAGACACAAAAACCTACTCAAAGGATCAATAAAACCAAACATCATTTCTTTGAAAGGATAAACAAGATTGACAGACTGTTAGCTATTATCAAAGAAAAAAAGAAAGAAGATCCAAATAAGCACAATGAGAAATGACAGAGTTGACATTACAGCTAATCCCACAGAAATACAAAATATCTTCAGAGACTATTACGAACAGTTTTATGCACACAAACTAGAAAATCTAGAGGAAATTGATAAGTTGCCGGAAACACACAATCTCCCAAGATTAAACCAGGAAGAAATTGAGAACCTGATCAGAGAAATAAGCTCTAAAACAGTAATAAGAAACCTACCAACTAAGAAAAGTCCTGGACCAGATATATTCATAGTTGTATTCTACCAGACAAACAAAGAAGAGCTGGTGTCAATCCTACTGAAACTATTCCAAAATACCAAGGAGGATGGACTCTTCTGTAACACATTCTAGGAAGCCAGCATCATCTTGATACCAAAATGAAAGACAAAACAAAAAAAGAAAACTATAGGCCAGTATCCCTAATGAAGATAGAGGAAAAGATACTTGATAAAATACTACCAAACTAAATCTAGCAGCACCTCTAAAAGTTAGTTAACTATGATCAAGTAGACTTTATTCCTGGATGCAAGGATGGCTCAAAATAAGCAAATCAAGAAATGTGATCTACCACATAAACAGAATAAAAAACAAAAACCGTATGATCATATCAATAGACATAGAAAAAGCTTTCGATAAAATCCAACATCCCTTCATGATAAAAACCCTCAAAAAACTAGGTTTTGAGGGAATGTATCTTAAAATAACAAGAGCCATCTATGACAAACCCACAGCCAACATCATACTGAATGGGCAAAGGCTGGAAACATTCCCCTTGGGAAGTAGAATAAGACAAGGACACCCACTCTGGCCACTCCTATTCAACATAGTACTAGAAGTCCTAGCCAGAGCAATAGGAAAAAGAAAGAAATAAAAAGCATCCAAATAGGTAAAAGAGAAGTCATATTGTCTCTCTTTCCTGATGATATAATTATATACCTAGAAAACCTTGACGGCCACCAGCAGGCTCCTAGAACTGAAGAACAACTTCAGTAAAGTTTCAGGGTATAAAATCAATGCATAAAAATCAGTTGTACTTCTATACACCAATAACGGTCAAGCTGAGAGTCACCTCAAAAACACAATCCCATTTACAACAGCCACACATGCACAAAATACCTGAGAATACATCTAAACAATTTGGTGAAAGATCTCTACAAGGAGAACTACAAAACACTGCTGAAAGAAATCACAAATGACATAAACAAATGGAAAAATATTCCGTGCTCATGAATTGGAAGAATCAATACTGTGAAAATGACCATACTGCCCAAAGCAACCTACAGAACAAATTGCATGATTGACTGCTATCCCTATTAAAATACCAACATCATTTTTCACAGAATTAGAAAAGAAATTCTAAAATTAATATGGAACCAAAATAGCCAAATCAATCCTAATAAAAAATAACAAAGCTGGAGGCGTCACATTACCCGACTTTAAACTATATTACAAGGAAGTCTACAGTAACCAAAACAGAATGGTACTGTTACACAAATAGACACAAAGTCCAATGGAACAGAACAGAGAACCTAGAAATAAAGCTACATACCCACAATCCATCTTATCTTTGACAAAGTTGACAAAAATAAGCAATGGAGAAAGGACTCCCTATTCAATAAGTGGTGCTGTGATAGCTGGGTAGCCATATGCAGAATAATGTCACATATGGAAAAGAATTTATGACTAAGTCCTCAAAAGCAATTACAACAAAAACAAAAATTGACAAGTGGGACCTAATTAAACTAAAGAGCTTCTACACAGCAAAAGAAACTATCAACAGAGTAAACAGACAACCTACAGATTGGGGAAAAACACTCACAAACTATGCATCCAACAAATGTCTAATATCTAGAACCTGTAAGGAACTTAAATCAACAAGAAAAAAACAAATAACCCCAGTAAAAAGTGGGCAAGGGACATGAACAGATACTTAAAAGAAGACATACAAGCAACCAACAAATGTGAAAAAATGCTCAACACAATAATTAGACAAATGCAAATCAAAACCATTCTGACACCAGTCAGATGGCTATTATTAAAAAGTTGCAAAACAACAGATGATAAGGCTATGGAGAAAAGGGAATGCTTACACTCTGTTGATGGGAATGAATTAGTTCAGCCACTGTGGAAAGCAGTTTGGAGATTTCTCAAATAACTTAAAACAGAATTACCATTCAACCCAGCAATACCATTACTAGGTATATATCCAAAAGAAAATAAATTGGTCTGCCAAATAGACATGCACTCCTATGTTCATCACAGCACTATTGACAATAGCAAAGTCATAGAATCAACTGAGGAGCTCATTCACAGTGGATTGGATAAAGAAAATGTGGTACATCAATACCATGGACTACTATGCAGCCATAAAAAAGAATGAACTCATATCCTTTGCAGCAACATGGATGCAGCTAGAGGCCATTATCCTAAGTGAATTAATGCAGAAACAGAAAACCAAATACCTCATGTTCTCACTTATAGCTGGTAGTTAAATAATCGGTACACGTGGCCATAAAGGTGGCATTATTAGACACAGGGGACTATGAGAAGGGAGAGGAAGGGTGGGGGGTAAGGGCTGAAAAACTACCTATTGAGTACTATGCTCACTACCTGGGTGACAGGATCAATCATACCGCAAATCTCAGCATCATGTAACATATCCATGTAACAAACCTGCAAATATACCTCCTGAATGCAAAATAGAAGTTGAAATTTTTAAACTACCTACTTATAAATTACATGTTAATTAATTTATAAGGAACAGAAGGAACAGCAGTAACTATACAGAAGAGAAAAACACCTTAACCAAATGATTAAAATTAGTATCATTAATAAAGGTCCAACAGACTATGTGCCTCTGGGTATCATATCCCCAATAGAACATAACTACTTATGTTGTAATCCAGCCAAGAATGGATAAGCTCATTCTAATCATAAGGAAAAAGTAAAGAAACACAAATTAAGGGACATTCTATAAGAATTCTAGCTAGTTTTCTTTAGAAATATCAATCTTATGCAAGAAAAAGACTGAAAACTGTTCAAAGTTTAAAGTGGCTGACAACCACATGCAAACACAATCCTGAATTGGACCCAGTACCAAAGAAACAAAATTTGTAGTAAGGGACATTATTTAAACTTTTGACAAAACTGGAATATGAATTATAGGTGAAAGTATCGTATCAATTTAAATATCTTTAATTGACAACTGAACTATGATCATATAAGAGAACATTTTAGTTCTTAAGAATGACACTGAAGCAGTAAGAAATGAAGGACCATAATGTATGCAACCTCTCAAGTGGTTAAAAAATGTATGTGTGTTTAGGGAAAGGGAGAGAATTATAAGGCAAATGTGGCAAAATGTTGAAAATAATGAATCTAGGAAACATCATATGGGAATTCTTTGAACTGTCCGTATAATTTTTCTGAAAGTTTGAAATTATTTCAAAATAAACAAATTTAAATTATTTTTTTAAGATTAAATATTAATATGTGAAAATTTTCACAAAAAATTGAACACAGCAAGCCTGACAAAATATGATTAGTACAAGTGCTTTGAACAGTGACAAGAGGTTTGTACCAGAAAGTAGCTTATTATACTGCTTTCTTCATCAAAAAAAGTCTTGCTCTTAAAAAATAACTCAGCTATCCTAAACTCTGCTTAGTGACATTCTGGTACAACCTAGTAACAGTTAATATACCAGCACTATACTTTGAGTAGCGCTAGTCTAAATACCATCTATTTGTAATCAATCAATCAATAACTACTTTAAGAATTATACATATGCATTTGGAATAATATACACCAAGTTATAACCAGTTTATGCTGGGTAACACAACTGAAGGTAATTTTTATTCTCTTCTTGTATTTTCTTATTCTTATTCCTTTTTTTTTTTTTTTTGACAGAGTTTTGCTCTGTCAGCCAGAGTGGAGTGCTGTGGCTCAATCAGGGCCCACTGCAGCCTTGACCTCCTGGACTCAAGTGATCCTCTTGCCTCAGCCTCCTGAGTAGCTGGGACTATAGACATATGCCACCATGCCTAGCTAATATTTTGTATTTTTAGTAGAGATGGGGTTTTGCCATGTCACCCAGGCTGGTCTCTAACTCCTGGGCCCAAGCAATCTGCCCAACTCAGCCTCCCCAGTGGGGGGATTACAGATATGAGCCACTGCACCAGGCCTCTTCTTGTATTTTTTTAAGTTTCTGCAATTAACATGGATTACTTCTGTAATAACAAGAACATAAGTAAACTTTCAAAAAAGTGTAGGTGAAAAAGAATTTAACAGGCAATAAGATTTCTTGGAATTTGCCTCCTGTATCAAAACACGACATTTTGTCTTAATGTTTACATGCTACCAACATTTTTCTAAAAGGCTTGTACTTACAGCTGATCTTGAAGCTCCACAATTATATATTCTAATTGTTCCTTCTCCAGTTTATGAGCCAGATCGGAATCTTCAATCCTTTGAAGTAGTATTTTATTCTGGGAGACAGATTCAGATAGTTGGTTCTCTCGAAGTCGTAAGAGTTCTTCAAGGTAACCCTGGAAATCCAGTATCATCAAGATATAGAAACTGCAAAATTCTAATACATATCCTGAAGATAAATGCTGAGTAGCTTAAATGCTATTCCTATTTATATTGTAATGAAACAATTTCAAAGCATTACTGATAAATTAGTAAAAAATTTGTCTTAATTGAATATAAAAATTTAACATATATTCTCCATTATTTAAAACTCTTCTCTAAAGTTTGAGAAACTGTAATTTGAGGCAAAACTTAGTTAAAACATTGTAATTTCTAAGCTTCACAACAATTGCATGACTCCTAGCTTCAAAATACAGCCCTAAAAACAGAATGACCAATTAGAAAGTTGCTTCTTTGTGATTATTTTTCAAAAACACATAGACATTAACATTTTAGCATTAATATGTTAGTGAGAGGTAGTATAATTTTGGTTAGGCCTGCTGGCCTAGTGTCATATTCCAGTTTTACCACTTATCAGCTATGTGTCCTTGGGCAAGTTACTTAAGCTCTCTGTGCCACAGTTTCACCATCTAAAAAAGCAGGACCCATCAGAGTATCCTAGTTGGTAGGATTAAATGAATCAATACAGATAAATTGCTTAGAATGGTGTCTGGTACACTGCATGCAATGTATAATTACTAGCTATTATTATTAGTAAACACGTAATAGATATAAGACTTCTTGGAATAATCTCTTAACCTTTTACTCTTTACTTTCTCTTTGTCCTTCTGCCCTGCTTTCTGGGAAAACTTATTGAATTTATCCTCAAACCCTTTGTACTAAATTTCTGAATTCAGGAAATCATATATTTAATTTTCAAAATCTTTCCTGTTTTCTGATTGTTCTCTTCCCATGGCATTCTATTCTTTTTAGTTGCAGTTTACTTTCAAATTCCTCTAAGGATTATTAATTAGAATCTTTTTAAAGTATTCTTCTATTACATGTTATCCTATTCATGTGTCATTAATAAACTTTCACCTATTTTAGATTTATGATACATGTTAAGAGTAGGTAATACTATTCTTCAAGAACTTATTTTTTATATTTTTTTCTGATAATTCTCAAATGTTTGCTCTTCTATAATAAAATCTCAGAAGTTAAAGTTAATTTTTATAAATGAATATTTCATATATATACAGCTTAATATAAACAATATATATTCATAAACATTAGTAATTAAAGAATACTCACATATCCACCACCTAGATTAATCACCAATACTTTAAAAGTCAATATAATGCCTTCCTTGATTGCTCCTCTTCAAAGGTAACAATATCCTAGATTTGTGTTTATTATCTCTTTACTTTTCTTTCCAGTTTTACTACAAATATGTGTCATCTTAAACAATACGTTGTTTAGTTTTGCTTGGTTTTGTCAATATCCTTTTGAAAATGTTTTGTCTATATTGATGAGCCTAGCTATAGTTCATTTGCTCTAAAAACTGTATAGTATTCCATTGTATGAATATTGCAGTTTATTCACTCTTCTGTCACTGTTCTCTCAATGACCATTTGGATCACTTTAGGTTTTTCTTAATATAAACAATATTGCTGTGAACACACTCTGTTATGTCTCCTGGTATGCACATCCAAGAGTTTCGAGGAGATATATCTAGGAGTAGAATTCCTAGGATATAGGCCATGCATATCTTCACATTTACTAGATACTGCTACTGATATTGCCATTGTAGTAATTGTTCTTACTATTGGTTTTATACTAATCACATTCCCACTTGATATTATATTCACATGATCTTATGTTAGTATAAGAGTTATACTGTGGTTCATTAAATTCATTGAAAACTATTCCTTCTTTTTCTATTCTCAGGAACAGTCCATATATAGGGATCACTCCTACAGTTGTGTGCCACTTAATGATGGGGATATGTTCTGAGAAATGTGTTGCTAAGCAATTTTGCCATTCTATGAACACTACAGAGTGTACTTACACCAACCTATGAACATTACAGAGTCTACTACACAACTAGGCTAGATGGTATAGCCTATTGTTCCTAGGCTACAAACCTGTACAGCATGTTACTATACTGGGTACTGTAGGCAATTGTAATACAATAGCAAGTATTTATATATCTAAACATAGAAAAGGGACAGTAAAAATATGGTATAAAAGATTTTTTTTAAAAAAGGCACAACTATGTAGGCCATTACTGTGAAATGGAACTTGCAGGACTGGAAATTGCTCAAAGTGAGTCAGTAAGTGGGTAGTTAGTGAATGTAAAGGCCTACAACTACTGTACACTACTGTAGACTTTATAAACACTGTACGCCTAGGCTATACTAAATTTATTTTTATAAGTTTTCTTTCTTCAGTAATAAAATTAACGTTAGCTTACTATAACATTTTTACTTTACAAATTTTTAAAAATCTTTTTGACTCTTTTGTAATAACAGTTTAAAACATACATTGTACAGCTATACAAAAACATTTTCTTTTTAACATCCTTATTCTATAAGCTTTTTTTCTATTGAAACATTTTAAAAACTTTTTAACTTTTTAAACTTTTCTGTTAAAAACGAAGTCACAAACACACACATTAGCCTAGGCCTACAACACAGGGTCAGGATCATCAATATCACTGTCTTCCACCTCCACCTCTTGTCTGACTGCAAGGACTTCAGGAGCATTAACACATGGAGCTGTCATCTCCCATGATAACAATGCCCACTGCTGGACTACCTCCTAAAAGACCTGCCTGAAGCTGTTTAACATTTAACTTTTTTGTTTTTTAAGTAGAAGGAGTACATTTAAAAATAATGACTAAAAAGTACTGTATAGTAAATACGTAAACCAGTAACATAGTATTTTATTATCATTATCAAGTATTGTATACTTTCCATAATTGTATATGCTAGTTTTAAATGACTGGCAGGGCAATAGGTTTATTTACACTAGCATTATCACAAACACATGAGTAATGCACTGTGTTACAACATCATCACGGCTACATCACTAAGTGATAGGAATTTTTCATCTCCATTATAATCTTATGAGACCACCTCATATACATGGCCCATTGTTGGCCAAAACATTATTATGTAGTGCATGACTATATTTGGTAGAGTCACCAAAACAATACATAATAGTTTTTTTTGGCGGGGGATTGGAAAGATTTTAAACTACTTTTTCAATTTGTTAAATGGCTATATATCAGTTTTGATAAGTAGTATTTATAAAAATTCTTTGTTTTGCAAGGTATTATAAAATTATTAAAATATTCTCTAATAATTATTGGGAGAGTTTCTCCCACATTTATGTTGTGCTGTCTATTCTTCCATTCTTAAGATTATCTGTGCCTTAATTTTTTAAAAAAATTATTCTTGCTAGAATTTATTTCATTAATTTTTGCAAATAATTATCTCTTGGTTTTGTTAATTCTGTTTCTTTTTTACTTCACCAATATCTATTATTTTATTACTTTCCTTCTTTTTGAACTGGTTTGGTTGTTCTTTCACTACTTCTTGGATACTTATCTCTTTAATTTTCATTGTTTCTTTTCTAAATATCTAAGTATTTCTACAAGTACTATACAAGTTGTGTGGCAACTTACAACGTTAATATGCATTATTTTCATTCTCATTCATTTTAAAGTATTCTATTTCCTCAATTTTTTTGACCTATAATTTAGACAATTTTTTCTTTAATTTCATGAGTGGCATGTGGGTGGTGCTAAACTGTTTGTATTGATATCTAACTTTACTGCACTATTCACATGACCTTACATTAGTATAAAAGTTATACTAAAATGATAATATTGTATCATTTCTTTGGTATTTGTGGACATTTGTTTTGTGACCTAGTGTGCTCCATAAAAAGATTGGCCGGGTGCGGTGGCTCATGCCTATAATACCAGCACTTTGGGAGGCCGAGTTGGGCAGATCACTTGAGGTCAGGAGTTAGAGACCAGCCTAGCCAACGTCGTGAAACCCCGTCTCTACTAAAAATACAAAAATTGGCCAGGTGTGGTGTCACATGCCTGTAGTCCTAGGTACTCGGAAGGCTGAGGCAGGAGAATCACTTGAACCCAGGAGGTGGAGGTTTCAGTGAGCCAAGATCGCGCCACTGCACTCCAGCCTGGGTGACAAAGCGAGACTCCATCTCAAAACAAAACAAAACAAAACAAAACAAAACAAAACAAGACAAGACAAAAACAAAACAAACCAAACAAAAATAACTCCACTATAGCTGTTCCATATATGCTTGAAAAGGTTATATGTTCTAATTGTTAACATTTAATATATTTTAGATCAGGTTTATTAATTGTGTTAATCGAAGTTCACTATATCCGTTCAATCTATAAATTACTCTGAAAGACATTAAAATTTCTCATTATAATTATGGAATTACCAATTTATTCTGGACATTTAATTAATTTTTGCTTCATATTTTTCATGGATATATTGTTAAATATATGTAAGTCCAGCACTGATATATATTCTTTGTGAATGCTTACTTTTTTTTTTTTTTTTTTTTTGAGACGGAGTCTCGCTCTGTTGCCCAGGCTGGAGTGCAGTGGCGCGATCTCCGCTCACTGCAAGCTCCGCCTCGCGGGTTCATGCCATTCTCCTGCCTCAGCTTCCCGAGTAGCTGGGACTACAGGTGCCCGCCACCATGCCCGGCTAATTTTTTGTATTTTTAGTAGAGACAGAGTTTCACTGTGTTATCCAGGATGGTCTCCAACTCCTGACCTCGTGATCCGCCCGCCTCGGCCTCCCAAAGTGCTGGGATTACAGGCGTGAGTCGCCAGGCCCGGCTGGTGAATGCTTACTTTTTAAAAAAAGCAATGTCTTTCTTTAGTCTTAATAATGCTTTCTGCCTTAATGTCTATGTTTAATGATATTGACATAAAATTCTTTTAGTTAGTATCTATCTAGTATATTTATCCCCCTAGTTTCAACTTTTTATGTCATTATGTGTTATGTGTCTCTCTTATCAATAGCATACAGCTAAATTTTATAATTATTTTTCAAAAAATCTAAGAGTTTATCTTAACTGGCAAGTTTCTGCCATTTACTTTTATGGTGGTGTTGACTCTTCTGGTTATATGTAATTTGCATTTTGCGTTCTCTTTTCACTATCTTTATTTTTTCTAATGTGCTCCCTTCTATTATATCGATCAAGCTTTCCTTATTTCTTTTCTTTCCCTCTACTGGTTTGAAAATTAAACATTCTACTTCTATTCTCTTAATTGCAACTTCTAAATGTTAATTTTGGAAACAGGCACACACATTAAAAAATGTCTCTAACCACCTTCACTATATTACAAAGACCTCAAAAGACTAGCTCAAAAGACTAGTCAAAATTCATCACTTTCTAATTATTTCATCATATTTTAACTATTATCTATGTTCTTATGGTCATTTACATCTATTTCATCTATCTTAGTAGAAATACTATGTAATAGTGTTCTACTGTGCATCTCTGACTCTTTCTGATATTTTTAGTCAGTGTTTTAGTTCTGCTCTGCTTTCATACTCTCAGTGGTGGCCTGTAGCTGGCTTGTATAGGCTCTCGAGAACTGATTGTTAAATTTCAGAAATTTAAGTCAGTTGTTAAACATTGCTGTTATTAAACATTAAATTATATAAATTTACAACTAAGTAAATTATATTAAACAAAAAGGTAATAACTGCTCAAAATTCATCACTTTCTAATTATTTCACCGTATTTTAACTATTATCTATGTTCTTACAGTCATTTACATCTATTTCATCTATCTTAGTAGAAATACTATGGAATGCTGTTCTACTGTGCACCTCTTCCCAATTTTGCATTCAGTGATGTCATATTGGTAGCTTTAAATTGGCCATGATGGCAGTATTTATCACAGAAAAATTGGCAAACACTACAAATGAGGGCTTCTGTCTCCATCTCCTCTAAAAGAGCCAGTTAAACATATTTCAGTGTACCAATGTCACCCCATATTGGTCATTATTTTTGCTATTGCATGTAATCAAGCTTTCTCTACAAATTTATTTGTTTACTCTGCCATTTTGCACCTCACTCCTACATTCTAGGTTCAATTTCCACCTTGAATGACAGGGACCTATACCTGCTGTTTCCCTGTTGGTGTTAAAATGCAAGTTTCTAGGTTAAGGAATTATGCCTTCACCCCCATCCCTGGGGCCTACAGTTCTCTAATATATGCACATATTCTTCTTGTGTTAGGTGTATGTTTCTGATCCCTAGGGAGTTCCTTTTCTTGAGAGAGTAGCTCTGAATGAATCTTTTAAAAAATTGTATTCTACTCAGCATTTTCATATTTTTGCAATGTAGATACTTTCAGATTATCTTAGTCTGAATTCTTGCTGGTACCACAAGTCTTTAATAGCGCATGAAAAGTTTTCTTCATATGCATTATGCAAATGTTTATAGCTATGTAATTTGGATTTAAAAATATTTTCTAAGCAATAGCTATCTGTATAGATAAAATTATTTATATTTATAAAATTATGACAATTTCCCCACTGCATTTTTAATTTTTTGAATATTTCTATCACTAATTCCATTGGGCTTTCCTTATATATATATATCATCTATGAATAATGATATTAAAAGAAGACAAAAAGAGAAAAATAGAAAATACAGTAAAAAAGTAATGGCTACAAACTCCTTAAAATAATAGAGTTTGTTTTCTTTCTGTTATATACTCCACTTTGCCTACTACAGTGCTTAACACACAAGAGCTGCTAAAATATCTAATTTTCAAAAAATCAGATGTACGTGCTTAGGCAATCACTGCATTTTCACAAACCAATCATCTTTTATAAAATTTATCATAGAAACTAAAATCTCAAATACATAAATTAAGCTGCTTATTAAAATAATGGCTTGTTTTTATGTTAAAACATAAAATTGGAAAAAGTTCAACAAACAAAAGTATCTTCTACAGTTGCCTGATTTTTCATTAAGAGGAGGACAATTCAAAAACAGAAGAGAAGCAGCAATGGATAAATAATTTTATTCAGTTAAAAAATATTTTGGCAGTCACAGTTCAAAGGCAATAACTAGAATAAAATTAAGTACGTTTTGATAATTTTAAAATACCTTCTGTTCCAGGGTAAGCTGATACTTTTGTTTAACTCTCTTACACTTGTTGAACCAACTGTTCTCATCCATGAGGAAAGGAGGTCCGACATTCTCTGGAGTACTGCTTTCGCTACCACTGCTTCCCAAAGTCCTTAGCTCCTCCTCATCACTGCTGATACTATCAGAACTGGGAAGATCAAAATTTTAAAAAAAAGTTAAAAATATGTTCCAACTTGATTCTTAAACACTTTTACATTTGCAAGCTACGGTGAACAAATTCGAAAATATTTAGTACTAAATACAAAATTATAATGATATTATAAAGATTTAAGCTTCCTGAAAAAAAAATGGCAAGTTAGCATGGGCTGCTGACTCCCTCTCGGAAACCAACCCTAGAGATACTACAGAAGTTCAAGTGGGTTTACAGATATAAGGTATTAAGATATAAACCAAGAATGCCCAAAAGAGAGAGAAAAGATTTCCAGAGAAGAGAAACAGAAACTCTAGATGCGCTGGAAACAGCCTTCTAACTGGGTTCCTTTCACTGCCCGAGGTGGATTGCTGCCTGCTCAATCTTCAATACAAGGCAGACAACAGCAGTTCCAGCTAATAACAGTGGGGTATAATACAGGGTAGTGTGTCAAGATCAGCTCAGCTTTAGCAAAGAGAAGATAACAACAGGTTCAGAAGATCCAGTCACTCCTAAGCATTTCCTACTGAGGGGAACAAGGACAAGCAGAGGTAGAGCAGAGAGAACATCTATCACAATCCATATCTAAAATTCCTCAGGATATGACTATAGAACAGAAGCAGAGCATAAGGTGAAAAAAATGGTAGAAGAGAAACTCAATAGAGATAAAAATGTGCTAAGATGATGGTCCAATTTAGAAGAAAAATATTGGTGTTAATTCATGGACACAGGGAGGGGAACATCACACACCGCGGCCTGTTGGCAGTGGGGAGCAAGGGAAGGGAGAGCATTAGGACAAATACCTAATGCATGCAGGGCTTAAAACCTAGATAATGGGTTGATGGGTGCAGCAAACCACCATGGCACATGTATAACTATGTAACAAACCTGCACGTTCTGCACATGTATCCCAGAACTTAAAGTATAATAAAAAAAAAGAAGAAAAATACTGGTGTTAATATACTTAAAAATAAACATGGAAAAATAAAATTTTAAATATGAGCAATTATATTAAAAAATAAGTAGAAGCATAAAAATAGTCTGTATTACCTTGAGAGTATTCAAAGAAACCACAATCTGTCAAATGCAGGAGCAAACAAAACAAAACAAAACAAAAAACAACCAAACCTGCCAAAGAAAATTCAAAACAAAAAAGGAGATGGCAGAAATAAACCCTAGTACAAAAGTAATCACACACAATTTAAATGAGTTAAACTCAATAGCCAAACCCCAGATGTTCAGGTCCAGTTAAGACAATTATATAAGGGGCTGGGCATATTAGCTCATTCCTGTAATACCAGCCCTTTGGGAGGCCAAGGTGGGCGGATCACTTGAGGCCAGAAGTTCAAGACCAGCTTGGGCAACATGGTGAAAACCTGTCTCTACTAAAAATACAAAAAAAAAAAAAAAATAGCTGGGCGTGGTGGCACATGCCTGTAATCCCAGCTACATGGGAGGCTGAGGCATAAGAATCATTTGAACCCAGGAGGTAGAGGTTGCAGTAAGCTGAGATTGTGCCACTGCACTCCAGCCTGGGTGACAGAGAGACTCCGTCTCAAAAAAAAGGAGTGGTGGTGGTTGGACAATAATGAGTGATCTATAAAATACACATGGTTTTTCTAAATATTTGGGATTTCTGATTCTATCATAATTGAAAAAAAAAAAAGAGTTCATTCAACTTTTTCCCAAGATGGCTGACTAGATACATCAGATGCCAGTTCTCCTCAGAAAGCAGATCAAATTTATAGATGAATAATCATAGCCTGAGTGGAAAGTTGAGATAAGAGTGTTGAAACCTGTTGGAGACCATGCAGGAAACAGCTGGGAGGCAGAAAAGGAAGGCAGCAAGAGCCTGGGAGAGACTGACCATTAAGGAACTTGGAGTCCCATAGAAAGGGTAGGTAGGGGCATTTCTTTGCACCCCTCACCAATGTGACAAACTGCTGAGAAGTGAATTGTCAGAGAGCCCCTCTGCCCCTGCAAACCTGGGCAATTCTGCCAATAGTAATCTGGAAACATCCTGTGGGCAGAGCACCAGGTGGTCAGCTTGTGCAGCTGGGCTCACATTGCCCCCAAACCTGAGCTGAAGCAGTGGGTGCGATACTCGTTGTGCAGATTCAGGGAATCTCAGCCCTTGTGTCACTGCATCACCAGATTCCCCACAAACATTTCTCAGAGTCTTCTCTGAATCTGCAACCAGAGGGGACCATCAGGACCCTGGGGAGCTGCAGGATCCCTGGAGATCTAGTCCTCGGTGTGGGCCACTCCTAGGGGAGGGAGAGGTGCAGCCCACCAAAGCACTCACTGGGACAAAGGAACCAGATTGCAACTTCTCTCCTGCCTGAGAACCCCACATTTGTGACAAGATGGGTGACTGTGCCCTTCTCCTGTGCCCTGACCTACTACTGCAGATGCAGCGAAGGCTTTTCCTACTAGAGGTTGACACAGGCACACTTGGAGACAGTACTATTCTCCACTAAAAGTGTGCCTATCACCTGGGCTTAAATAAAGGGTATGACTCACCTCCCTCTCCCTACACAGAGTGGCAACATTCCTGCAATAGAGTACAGATCGCCAGCAGAGTTGTTTGTTTTCGGCTGGGTGAAAAGTTTTCTCCCTTGGGTTATTTTGTTGGTAGTAGACAGACAGGCATTTTCCACAAACCTCAGTTGCATTGTGGCCTAGAGATAAAGATAGTGTCTATCTAAACTGAAAGTTGCAAGCCCTGTGACAAGGGTGTGACAGGGAAGCTGATTGCATTCCTACCTGCCTAGGACAAGGAGCTGATGCAGTCCTCTCAACTCCCATCCCCAGAGACCTCAGTGCATCCTATCATGAACTACCCCCGCCATATGTTGGGGCTGGTGCTACCACTTGTCATCAGCATACCCCAGGGAAAGCTGGCTCTTACTCTGAAGTGCAACTTACTGAACTGGAGATTGAACTGCATCACCAAATAAAGAAATCTGAGGATAGAAGGGCATAGTGCTAGGTTATGAGATAAGTGCCCTGGGACCTACACACTCTCAGCCTTGCAGAAGATAGTGAGTTGGATCATATGACCAATACATTGCTACGACAAGTAGCATTTGAGAAAGCCACTGCAAAAAAAGCTATCTATAACCAAGGACTCATACAGAGTCTTGGCTTCCTGAAAGCAACTAGAAATGAAGCCAAATGATCTTAGACAATATACCTAACAGTCACATCCTTAAGGGAGCTTCCTCAGATTAGAAGGAATTAGTGTAAGAACTCTGGCAGCACAAAAGGATAGAGTGTTTTGACATCTCCAAAGGATTACACTAGTTCTCTAGGAATAGATCCTAACCAAAATGAAAATTCTGTTATGACAAATAAAGAATTCAAAATGTAGATTATAAGGAAGTTAAATGAGATCTAAGAGAAGGTTGGGAAACAACACAAAGAGATCAGAAAAACAATTCAGGACCTGAAAGATGAGTTAGGTAGATATTTTTAAAAACCAAACAGAACTTGAAGAAATGAAAAATTCGCTGAAGGAATTTCAAAATACATTTGAAAGCTTTAACAGTATAAAAGACCAAGCAAAAGAAAGAATTTCAGAGCTTGAAGATTGATTTTTCTAATTAACACAGTCAGAAAAAAAGAAAAAAAATTAAAAATCAACAAAGCCTTCAAGAAACATTAGATTATGTAAAGCAACCAAACCTACAACTTTTGGCTATTCTTGAGAGAGAAGATGAAAAAGTAAAATGTTTGGAAAAAATATTTGAGGGAATAATTCAGGAAAATTTTCCTGATCTTGCTAGAGATATAGCCATTCAGATACAAGAAATTCAGAGAACACCTGAAAGATACTATACAAAATCAACACCACCAAGGCATATGATCATCAGACTATCCAAGGTCAACGTGAAAGAAAAGAAATTTCCTAAAGGAAAAGAAATAAAAGAATTTCCTATAAAGGAAATTCTATCAGATTAACAACAGACTTCTCAGAAGAAACCTTATGAGCCAGAAGAGACTGGGGGTCTTTTTTCAGCCTTCTTAGAGAAAAAAACACTAGCCAAGAATTTTATATACTGCCAAACTAAGCTTCATCAATGAAGAAGAAATAAAGTCCTTCCCCAGACAAGCAAGCACTAAGGGAATTAATCACGATTAGACTAGTCCTACAAGAAATGATCAAAGGAGCTCTAAACATAAAAAAAGGACGATACTCACCATCATAAATGCATACATACGTCCAAAGCTCAGACAGCCGATAAAGCAATTACACAATTGAGATTACAAAGCAACTAGTTATCAACACTGTGACAGGAACAGAACCTCACATGGCCTCACAAAGATATAGGCTGACAAGCTGGATTAAAAACAAGACCCAACCATCTTCGAAGACCCACCTAACAGGTAAATACACTTACAGACTCAAAATGGAAGAGTTTGAAAAAGATGTATCATGCAACAGGAAAACAAAACGATCAAGAGTAGCTATTCTTATATCATACAAAACAGACTTTAAATCAACAACAGTGAAAAAGACAAGGAAGGTCATTATATAATGATAAAGGGTTTGATTCAACAAGAAGATTTAACTGTTCTAAATATATATGCATCCAACACTGGAGCACCCAGATTCATAAAACAAATACTACTAGACATAAGAAATGATATAGGGTAATACAATAATAGTGAGGGAATTCAACACTCTACTAATAGCACTAGACAGATTACTGAGGCAGAAAATAAAAAAAAAATACTCTGGACTTAAATTAGACTCTAGAGCAAATGGACCTAATAGATATTTACAGAACATGCTACCCAATAACCACAGAATATATATTTTTCTCACCTGTGCAGAGAACATTCTCCAAAACTGACCATATGGTTGGTCATAAAGCAAGTCTCAATAAATTTTTAAAAACTGAAATCATATCAAATATCTTCTCAGACCACAGTGGAATAAAATTAGAAATCAATACCATGAAGAACCATCAAAATTACACAAGTATGTAGAAACTAAACAACTTGCTCCTGGAAGACATTTGGGTAAACAAAATAAGGCAGAAATCCAACATTCTTTTTGAAACAAATGAAAAGAGACATAATATACCAAAACCTCTGGGATATGGCAAAAACAGGGCTAAGAGGAAAGTTTATAGCACTAAATGCCAACATCAAAAAGATAGAAAGATCTCAAATTAGCAACCAAATGTTACACTTCAAGGAACTAGAAAAACGAGGACAAACCATACTCAAAAGTAGCAGAAGACAGAAATAACAAACATCAGAGCAGAACTGAATGAAACTGAGACAAAAAAAAATCAACCCAAAGGATCAGTTAAATGAAAAGTTGGTTTTTTGAAAGGTTAAAAAAATTAATAGACCACTAGCTATATTAACAATGGAAAAAACAAGAGAAAATTAAAATAAGCACAATCAGAAATAACGGTTACATTACAGCTGATATTGCAGAAATACAAAAGATTATCAAAGATTTTTATGAGCCTCTTTATGTGCACAAACTAGAAAACCTAGAAAAAAAATTTCTGAAACCTACACTTCCCAAGATTGAACCAGGAAGAAACAGAAATCCTGAACAGACCAATAAAAAGTAATTAAAATGAACCAGTAATTAAAAAAAATCTCCCAACAAAAAAGAGCATAGGACCAGATGAATTGGGATTTCCTACCCAAAGGAAAATTAATCGTTGTATCAAAAAGACACTCTCCCTTGTATGTTTATCACAGCACTATTCACAATAGCAAATGTATCAAATCAACCTAAGTATTCATCAATAAAATACTGAATAAAGAAAATGTGGTGTATATATACATGGTGGAATACCATTTAGCCATAAAGAAGAATGAAATTAATTGTGTCCTGTTTCAGCAACATGAATGGACCTGGAAGCCAATTATCCTAAGTGAGATAGCTCAGAAACAGAAAATCAAATACTACATATTCTCACATGGGTAAACATGGACATAAAGATGGAAATAATAAACACTAGGGACTCTAAAAGTGGGGAGACTGAGGAGGGGACAAAGGTCATATAATTACCTATTGGGTACAATGTTCACTATTTGAGATGGTTACACTAGAAGCCCAAAGCTCACCATTAAGCAATATATCCAACTAACAAACCTGTACATGTACCTGCCTCAGTCTAATATTTTTTCAAAAGAGCTCATTCAAGAATAAAGATATTTATTTGAGACTTAAAGTTAATTAAGCTAATAAAGCTATTGATTTGATACTTTAAATTAAATAAGCATGTTAAATTACCAAAATAGTAAAAGACTAGACCCAGTATAACTGTCAACTCAGAAGACTGAAAATGAATGTAAGGAGCAAGTCTTACACATGTCTTACCACAGATACTATGAAGTCCTTCAAAAAATATCAGTTTGGTCTTTAAATTTACATAAAGTAATCTTTGACTATTGTCTTTGTTGAATGTTGCTTAAATTAAATGTGCTAATAAAATTTTTTACACTTAAAAAGGACACAAATAAATACCAAACAGGTAAAACTGAAGAGAGAGAAAATACCAGAAAGACATGAACTAAAGAAATCAAGGTCAGAAATTATAATTTCATAGATGTAATGTTGAAAAATATCATAAACACAAAGACAGACATTATATATTTCATCCTCTGTGATCTGTGTTTTCATCTGTTGGGCTCCTGACTATGGCATCTACGCATGTTGCAAATTTGAAACAGATACCTCTGCCAAAAGAAAAGTCTGACCAACAAGATGTTCTTAGTCAGGGATCTAGAAAACAAACCAATAAACAAACAAATAGCAAAGAATATTTGCCTGTCATACCATGGTTTTGGATAAAACAGAAAAAAATTAATGGCTGATAATAAAGTTCCAGCTTTGAAAACAGCCAAACAGAACTTTAAAAATTAAATGTATTTCACAATAAAAATAAATGGATTGCCTAAAAATCAGATACAATTGAAGAAAGAACTTGTAAAATGGAAGATAGACAGAAAAAAGTGTAATATTTATTAAATATTTTCAAAATACTAAAAAACCCCTGTCATACAAGGACACATATCCAGCAAAATTATCTTCCTAAAAAGAGGATGAGATAAGCATATTTTCAGAAAACTAAAACGTTAGAGATGTGCCAACAAATCCCCACTAAAACAACTTCTGATGGTTATAATATAAGAAAAAGTAAAATGACCTAATAAGGAAGGTTGTTTTGCAAGAAGGTACACAAAGAGAATGGTAAACTTATGGGTAAACCTAAACAAATATTGAGAGTATAAAACAGTAACAATTATGCCTACTTTAGAAATTTTTAAATAAATCAATGACAAATGTAAAATTCGGGACATCAAAAGCATATGTCAAAAAGGAAAAATTTAGAGGCAAAGCAATGCAAGATTCTCATTTACTTGGATGGGTGGTAAAGACATTAACCTTCAACTTTGTTAAATTTTAAATCTGCATATTAAAATTAATGGGGTATCATAGAAGAAAAGTTATGTGCATAACTTTTAAACTGGTAGAGGAATAAAATGAGGGAAAAGAGAAATTTGTAAAAGGCAAGAAAGAATAAAGGATATAAAAAGAAATGCAAAGTCATAGGATAAGTAGAAGGCAAAAAATGCAATAGTAGATATCATTCCAAATATATCAGTAAATATCTTAAGCACTTCAGTTAAAAGACAAAGCCTGCCGGAGTAGTTTTTTTTTAATTCCAGTTAAGTAACATTTTTAAACACATACTTAAAGACATAAGGACACAGAAAGGTTGAAAACAATGTATTTCATAAATTCTTGGTGTATATTTTTAATATATTGACATATCTGGAATCATAGTACAGCTTGTAATTGATGACATCTTACTATTGCTGTCATGCCATTTTCTTACATAATGTCTCTGAATTGAAATGCATTTACAATGGAAGGCATGATAGATTAGATGAAATACAGTTTTAAAAAGATAAGAATATACTAGAAAAATATTAAACAAAAGAAAACTGGTGGGAATCTTAATATCATACAAAATGGACTTACAGTTTACAAGGAGAAAATTATCCCCAAATTCTTGGGGAGAGGATGATGTCACCAATATACCATTGATTTTTCAAGCAGACAATACAAGAAAGGAAAATAAAGTCTATTTTATAGACTTTACTGAAATTCATACACATATAGATGTAAAATTCATACACATATGGATGTAAAAACTGTAAACAAAGCATTTAAAATGGAATACAACAAGGGATTAAGATAATATACTATTGTTCACAATAGGTTTATTCCAGAAAAACAAGGAGATGTAAGGGCCATAAAACATTTCTATTAATGTAATTTACCACATGAACAAGGAGAAAAACTATATGAATAATTTTAATAGATGCAGAAAAAGCATGTGATACATTTACAAGACTCATTAACGATTTAAAAACAAACAAGAAACCAATTATAAAAAGTACCCCATAGCACATTAAGAATAGAAGAAAACATTCTTAACCAGAGTATTCATAACTAAAAACAAAAACAAAATACCCCAGTAAAACCCAGAGCAAATACAATATTCAATGGTGAAACATCAAAAATATATTTTAAGATCAAGCCCCAAAACAAGAATGCCTAGAATTATCTTATTTATTCATTTGTATACTTGTATACACCTTTATGTCTGTTTCATAAACTGTTTATGTATAGTTAAAGAACTGGGAAATATATCATGTTAACAAAGAATGGTGGGAGAAATTCTGGTCTTCTTATAGTGATAAATTGCCATGCTCCCTTTTCCCCCAGGGCATAATAATCTGAAAACCAAAAAGAGAACAAGAAACAAAAACACAAAGTGTACTTTTGGGGAACTGAATCACAAAATATGTGGCTTTTGTGTTTGACGCCTTTCACCTATAATGGTTTCAAAGTTTATCCATGTTGTGGTAGGTATCAACGCTTCATCCCATTTTAAGGCTGAGTAATACTCCATTGTATGGATACATCACATTTTAAATTTATTCACCAACTGGTGAACACTTGCATTGTGTCCACTTTTGGCTATTAAGAATAATGAACATTCATGTAAAAGTTTCTGTTTGACCGCATGTTTTCAGTTATCTTGGGTGGAAAGAGAATTGATATCTAGGAGAAGAATTTCAGAATCATGTGGTAATTCTGTATTTAACTTAGAGAAATTATCAAACTTATTTCCACAGCAACTGCATCATTTTACATTTTCCCACCAGAAATGCAACTTCTCCACATCCTCACCAATACTTATTATGTTTTGTTGATTTTGGATATAGCTATCCTTGTGAGTATAAAGTGGTGTCTTACTGTGGTTTGAATTTGCATTTCCCTAATGACTAATGATGTTGAGTATCATTTCATGTGCTTCTGGGCCACTGTACATCTTCCTTGGAGAAATGTTTATTTAAGTCCTTAGCCCATTTTAAAATCGGGTTGTTTATATTTGTGTTGCCAAGTTGTAGCAGTTCTTTATGTATTCTAAATACTAGACCCTGATTTTGTGTATGATTTGCAAAAATTTTCTCCCAGTCTTTGGGTCACTCTTTCATTTTTTGATGGTATCTTTTGATAATGCAAGTTTTAAATTTTGATGAAGTCCAATTTATCTATTTTTTCTTTTGTTATTTACATTTTTGGTGTCATATTAAAAAACAATTGCCTAACTCAGGGTTATGAAAAATTTACACCTATGTTTCCTTATAAGATTTTATTGTGTTAGCTCTTACATGTGGGTCTTAGATCCATTTTTGAATTAATTTTTGCATTTCATATGAGGTTAAGGTCTAAATTCACTCATTTGCATGTGGATAGTCAGTTGTCCCAGCATCATTTAGTGAAAACACTATTCTTTATCCATTGAATGGTTTTGGTACCCTTTTCAAAACTCCACTGACCACAAATGTATGGGTTTATTTCCAGAATTTTAATTTAATTCTGTTGATTTGTATGTATATCCTTGTGCTAGCAGCATATTGTTTTGATTACTGGAGCTTTGTAGAAAATTCTGAAGTTAGGATGTATGAGTCCTCTGATTTTGTATTTCAAGATTGTTTTGGCTATTTAGAGTCCCTTGCAATTCCATACAAATTTTGGGATTAGCTTGTCCATTTCTACAAACAAAAAAGAATGTTGGAATATTGATAGCAACTGAATTGAATCTGCAGATCAATTCAGAAGTATTGCCATCTTAAGAATATGAAGTGTTTCAATTCATTAACAAGTATATCTTTTTATTTACTTACATCTTCTTCAATTTCCCTAAACAATGTAGCATCAATTTTTAAGTTTAAATTAATTAAAATTAAATTTAAATGAAAAATTCAGTTCCTCAGTCACACTAGTTATATCTGAAGTACTGAATGCCACATGTGGCTAATGGCTACTGTATTGGATAACACCAACTAAAGAACTAGGTATGTGTGGGCATTGTAGTTATAGTTATGGTAATTGATGTTATGAATCAGTAAGTGTGAATAGGCTAAAAACACCCATTAAGAAAAAAAAAAAACCCCTGTATCACAGAACAAAACCCAACTATAAACTGCACAAATGAAATACATCTAAAACCAAATTATTTATTTATAGTTTCTTTCAGAGCTTTGATGTAAAAAATTCAGCGATTTGAACTTTTAAATTTTTTAAATTTTTAATGGTTATGGGTACATAACAGGTGGGGTATATATTTATGGGGTACATATGATGTTTTGATACAGGCATTTAATATGTAATAATCACACAAGGGTAACTGAGGTATCTATCACCTCAAGGACTTTTTTTTTTTTTTGATACAGGATCTCACTCTGTTTCCCAGGCTAGAAAGCAAAGGCATGACCACAGCTCATGCCTCAAACTCCTGAGCTTAAGCAATCCCCTCCCCTTAGTCTCCCAAGTAGCTAGGACTACAGGAAAACACCACTACATCTGGCTAATTTTTAATTTTTTTTGTAGTCACAGAGTCTCACTATATTACTCAAGCTGGTCTTGAACTCCTGGCCTCAAGTGATCCCCCTGCCTCAGACTCCCAAAGTACTGGGATTATAGGCATGAGCCACCATGCCCAACCACATGTGTCATTTCTTTGTGTTAGGAACATTCCAATTCCACTCTTTTGGTAATTTTAAAATATACAATAAATTATTGTTGACTACAGTCACCCATTGGGCTATCAAATACTAGATCTTATTCATTCTAACTATGTTTTTATACCCATTAATCATCCCGACTTTTCTCCCTTCCCTTGCTACCCTTTCCAGGCTGTGCTAACCATCATTCTATTCTCTATCTTCATGAGCTTAACTATTTTAATTTTTAGCTCCCTCGTATGAGAATATGGGAAATTTGTCTTTCTATGCCTGGCTTATTTCACATAATATAATCTCCAGGCCCATCCATGTTGTTGCAGATGACAGGATTTCATTCTTTTTGTGGCTGAATAATATTCCATTGTGTATATATACCACATTTTATTTAGCCATTCATCCATCCATGGATACTTAGTATGATCCCACATCTTAGCTATTGTGAATAGTACTGCAATAAAGATGAGAGTGCAGACATCTCTTTCATATACTTACTGATTTCCTTTCTTTTAGATATATACCTAGCAG
Organism: Homo sapiens; assembly: GCF_000001405.40. Taxonomy (NCBI): domain Eukaryota; kingdom Metazoa; phylum Chordata; class Mammalia; order Primates; family Hominidae; genus Homo; species Homo sapiens. Next base: position 87,758,970 of record NC_000007.14, on the reverse strand, counting down.
TGGAATTGCTGGATCATATGGTAGTTCTTTTTTAAGTGTTTTGAGAAACCTTCATACTGTTCTCCATAGTGGTTATACTAATTTACATTCCCACCAGCAGTGTAAAAGGGTTCCCCTTTCTCCATACCCTTGCCAGCATTCATTATTGCCTGTCTTTTGAATAAAGGACATTTTAACTAGAGTGAGATGATATCTCATTGTAGTTTTGATTTGCATTTCTCTGTTGATTAATGACGTTGTACACTTTTTCACGTACCTGTTAACCATTTGTATGTCTCCTCTTGAGAAATGTCCATTTAGATCTTTTGCACACTTTTTAATTGGATTATTTGATTTTTTTTCCTATTGAGTTGTTTGAACTCTTTACATATTCTGGTTATTAATCCCTTGTCAGATGAATAGCTTGCAAATATATTCTCCCACTCTGTGTGTTGTCTCTTCACTATGTTGACTGCTTCCTTTGCTGTGCAGAAGCTTTTCAACTTGATGGAATCCCATTTGTCCATTTTTGCTTTGGTTGCCTGTACTTTTGAGGTATTACTCAGGAAATCTTTGCTCAGGCCAATCAATGATCCACAGTTTTTGGTAGTATTTTCAGAGTTCCAGGTGTTCGGTTTTTGTTTGTTTGTTTGTTTTCTTTTGTTTTTTTGAGTCTGGGTTTTGCTTTGTTGCTCAGGCTGGAATGCAGTGGCACAATCATGACTCACTGCAGCCTTGAACTCCTGGGCTCAAGTGATTCTCCCACCTTGGCCTTCCAAGTAGCTGGGACTACAGGTGTGCAACACCATGTCCAGCTAAGTTTTTGAAAGATTTTTGTACAGACAGCATCTCACTGTGTTGCCTAGGCTGGTCTCAAACTCCTGACTTCAAAAGATCCTCCTGCCTTGGCTTCCAAATTGCTGAGATTAAAGGCATAAGCCACTGCAACTGGCCTCAAGTCTTAAATTTAAGTCTTTAATGCATTTTGATTTGGTTTTTGTATATGGTGAGAGATTGAGGTCTACTTTCATCCTTTTGCATACGAATATCCAGTTTTCCCAGCACCATTTATTGAAGAGAGTGTCCTTTCCCCAGTGCATATTCTTGACCTCTCTAGAAAATGAGTTTACTATAGATGCATGGATTTATTTCTGGATTTCTATTCTGTTCCATTGGTCTGTATGTCTATTTTTATGCTGGTGTCATGCTGCTTTGGTTACTATAGCTCTATAGTATTTGCAGGTGATTTGATTCTTCCAGTTTTGTTTCTTTTTGTTCATGATAGCTTTGGCTATTCTGGGTCTTTTGTGGTTCCACATAATTTTGTATAATTTTTTCTATTTCTGTGAAGAATGTCATTGGTATTTTGACAGCAAATACATTGGGTCTATAGATTGCTTGGTGTGATGGGACACTGAATTTTCCAATTAATGAAAATGAAATATCCTTCCTTTTTTTGGTATTCAATTTCTTTCATCAGTATTTTATAATTTTCATTGTAGAGATCTCTTACTTCTTTGGTTAATTCTTAGGTATTTAATTTTATTTGTGGCTATTGTAAATGGAATTGCTTTCCTTGTTTCTTTTTCATATTGTTCACTGTTGGCATATAGAAATGCTACTGATTTTCCTATGTTGATTTTGTATCCTGCAAATTTACTGAACTTGTTTATCAGTTCTAATAGTTTATTGGTGGATCTACTTTTCCATTTATAGAAAGTAAAAATCAAGCATAACTATAGTATATAGGAGGTAAGGTACATTCTTAGAGTAAAATAAAAAAACAATGAAGTCACTACCAAAAATGTATTATTACAGTAACTATGTCTCAGGAGCTCGTGGGGGGTTGTGATTTTGAAGTGATAAAAGCAGGCCTTTCACGGTGCTGACTATGTTTGCTTTATCTATACTTAGAGTGGTGATTACTCAGTATACACTTCATAAATTTTTTATGCTATACATTTATATTTTATCTATTTTTCTTTGTGAGTTGTACTTCACAATAATAATAGGTTTAAAAGATCTAAACAGGACATCCAGTTAGAATTTTTGACAAAGCTCAGTGTCATGGTCTGGGGATTGGAGGTGAGACCATGAGGAGGGAGAGGGTATTATCTAATTATTATGATTTCTTCAAACAGTGCATATTCCACATAACATATATAACATATTTCATCAATTCCAGGACAAAATCAAATAAAAGATGCACAATTACTTTATGCACCAAGAAAGGAAAAACAATGCTGACAAACTATGGCACAACATTATTTGTCAGAAATATTGAAATGTAAAACAAAGAAGTATATCTTAAAATTGATGGAATATGGTATATAGAAAATAATTATTACACTTCTCACTTATTCAGACTACTACTTTTTGAATATAAAAATTTTTCATATTTTAAGGGAGTATATATAAGTAAAATAAGCCATAACTTACCAATCTGGTTTAAATGTAGTCCAAAGGCCTATAATAATCTAAATGAATTTAGGTACCTTTTATCATTGAAATTATAAATATTTTGCTATATTGGACATGAAAAAATATTAGTAAGGTAAAAAACCTGACATCATCTTTATAGATAATGATTCACTTAGATTAATAAAAACTCAAATATATTCTAACTTTTTGGCCTTTTTTCCAAAATTAAATTTATATAAATAAAAATATCTTAACAGGACTTTCTATGAATAAAGAAAGATTAAAGCACTTGTTCTACATGATTCCCTAAAAACAATGCCCTAAATACTAGAAAGTGAGAGCTCAGTAGAAAACCAAGAAAGAAGTAAAAGGATATCATAAAATCAAGGACTTAATACTTAATTTGGTAAAACTTACAAATACCAAAATTCTCATTAAAAAAGAAATACATCTCAGGTGTTTAATATGTATGTAACTGACTAAATCTTTACAAGTTATAATCCTGCCCTGCCCTGCCCCGCATCCCAAAAAGGACTGTAAGTCTTAAAATGAAAAATAAGTCTCCTATCTCACTCTACCCTCCTCCAATTCCATTCTTACAGGACAATATTTTTTAAATTTTTTACTCTTCTTGTAAATTATCTCCATACCCTATCTTCCTATTTAGATGCCCTTTATTTCTTTCTCTTGCCTGATTGCTCTGGCTAGGACTTCCAATACGACTTTGAATAGAAGTGGTGAGAGAGAGCAACCTTGTCTTATGCCAGTTTTCAAGGGGAATACTTCCAGATTTTGCCCATTCAGTATAATGTTGGCTGTAGGTTTGTCATAGATGGCTCTTATTATTTTGAAGAATGTTCTTTCAATATGTAGTTTATTGAGAGTTTTTAATGCAAAGGCGTGTTGAATTTTATCAAAAGCTTTTTCTGTGTCTATTTAGATAATCATTGGTTTTTGTCTTTATTTATGTTTATGTGATGAATCACATTTATTGATTACGTATGTTGAACCAACCTTGCACTGATCATGGTGGATTAGCTTTTTGACGTGCTGCTGGATTCAGTTTGCCAGTATTTTGTTGAGGATTTTTGTAATAATGTTCATCAAGGATACTGGCCTGAAGCTTTCCTTTTTTGTTCTATCTCTGCCAGGTTTTGGTATCAGGATGATACTGGCCTCATAGAATAAGTTGGGGAGGAGTCTTTCCTCCTCAATATTTTGGAATAGTTTCATCAGAAATGGTATCAGCTGGCCAGGCATGGTGGCTCACACCTGTAATCCCAGGACTCTGGGAGGCCAAGGTAGGTGGATCACAAGGTCAGGAGTTTGAGACCAGCCTGGCCAACATGATGAAACCCCATATCTACTAATAATACAAAAATTAGCCAGGTGTGGTGGTGTGCACTTGTAGTCCCAGCTACTCGGGAGGCTGAGGCAGGAGAATCACTTGAACCCGGGAGGCAGAAGTTGCAGTGAGCCGAGATCATTGCACTGCACTCCAGCCTGGGTGACAGAGTGAGACTCTGTCTCAAAAAAAAAAAAAGAAATTGTATCAGCTATTCCTTGTATATCTGGTATAATTTGGCTGTGAATCCATCAGGTTCTGGGCTTTTTTTTTTTTTTTTTTGGTTGGTAAGCTATTTATTACTGATTCAATTTCAGAGCTCATTATTGTTCTGTTCAGGTAATCAATTTCTTCCTGCTTCAGTCTTGGGAAAGTGTGTGTGTCAAAGAATTTATCTATCTCCTGTAGGTTTTCTAGTTTGCCTGCATAGAGGTATTCATAGTTATTTTTGTTTCTGTGGGGTCTATGGTAACATCCCCTTTGTCATTTCTAATTGTGTTTATTGGGATCTTCTCTCTTTTCTTCTTTATTAGTCTAGCTTGGAACCTAACTATCTTATTTTTTCAAAAAACCAACTCCTGGATTCGTTGATGTTTTGAATTTTTTTGTGTGTGTCTTGATTTCCTTCAGTTTAGCTCTGATTTTGGTTATTGTCTTTTGCTAGCTTTGGGGTGCATTTGTTCTTGCTTCTTTAATTCTTTCCATTGTGATATTAGGTTGTTAATTTGAGATCTTTCCTACATTTTCATGTGGACATTTAGTGGTATGAACTTCCTTCTTAACAGTGCCTTAGCTCTGTCCCACAGATTCTGGTATGTTGTATCTTTGTTCTCATTGGTTTCAAAGAACTTCATGATTTCCATCTTAATTTCATTATTTACCCAAAAGTCAATCAGGAGCATGTTGTTTAATTCCTACATAATTTCATGGTTTTGAGTGATTTTCAGAGTCTTGACTTCTATTTTGGTTGTGCTGTGGTCCAAGAGTGTGTTTGGTATGATTTTGGTTCTTTTGCATTTGTTGAGGATTGTTTTATGTCCAATTATGTGGTCAGTTTCAGAGTATGTGCCATGTGGCGATGAGAAGAATGTATATTCTGTTATTTGGAGGTGGAAAGTTCAGTATCAGTACTGCACAAAGCCCTTTTCAGCACAAGCACCATTCTATAAAATCCCCAGCAAGACTCTTCTTCTTGCAGTCAGCTCCCCTCCCACTGACCTGCCTATTGCTTTCTTGGAATGTACTTTTATACCTTCTTTAATAAATGTGCCTTTATATACATATAACTGTCTTGGTAAATTCTTCTTACTGACTGCATGATACCAGCCCCAGATAGTCGCTACCTGTGACAAAAATGATCTTACATTTCAGAAGGATCACTCTGGCTCCTCTATGTAGAATAAGTTACAGGAGTAAGAGGAACAGCTATGGAGACTAGCATACATTTCCAGGTTTAAATTGAGGTGGAGTTGACAAAGAATTTGCTGATGGATCCTATTTGAGTTATAGCAGAGAATTTAAGGATGACTTCAAAGTTTTCAGTATAAGCAACTATAAAGATACAACTACTATTGTTGGCCAACTACAAAGAAGGCCATTACATAACGGTAAAGGGATCAATTCAACAAGAAGAGCTAACTATCCTAAATATATATGCACCCAATGCAGGAGCACCCAGATTCATAAAGTAAGTCCTGAGTGACCTACAAAGAGACTTAGACTCCCACACATTAATAACGGGAGATTTTAACACCCCACTGTCAACATTAGACAGATCAATGAGACAGAAAGTCAACAAGGATACCCAGGAATTGAACTCAGCTCTGCACCAAGTGGACCTAATAGACATCTACAGAACTCTCCACCCCAAATCAACAGAATATACATTTTTTTCAGCACCATACCACACCTATTCCAAAATTGACCACATACTTGGAAGTAAAGCTCTCCTCAGCAAATGTAAAAGAACAGAAATTATAACAAACTATCTCTCAGACCACAGTGCAATCAAACTAGAACTCAGGATTAAGAATCTCACTCAAAACCGCTCAACTACATGGAAACTGAACAACCTGCTCCTGAATGACTACTGGGTACATAACGAAATGAAGGCAGAAATAAAGATGTTCTTTCAAACCAATGAGAACAGACACAACATACCAGAATCTCTGGGACACATTCAAAGCAGTGTGTAGAGGGAAATTTATAGCACTAAATGACCACAAGAGAAAGCAGGAAAGATCCAAAATTGACACCCTAACATCACAATTAAAAGAACTAGAAAAGCAAGAGCAAACACATTCAAAAGCTAGCAGAAGGCAAGAAATAACTAAAATCAGAGCAGAACTGAAGGAAATAGAGACACAAAAAACTCTTCAAAAAATTAATGAATCCAGGAGCTGGTTTTTTGAAAGGATCAACAAAACTGATAAACCACTAGCAAGACTAATAAAGAAAAAAAGAGAGAAGAATCAAATAGACGCAATAAAAAATGATAAAGGGGATATCACTACCAATCCCACAGAAATACAAACTACCATCAGAGAATACTACAAACACCTCTATGCAAATAAACTAGAAAATTTAGAAGAAATGGATAAATTCCTCAACACATACACTCTCCCAAGACTAAACCAGGAAGAAGTTGAATCTCTGAATAGACCAATAACAGGATCTGAAATTGTGGCAATAATCAATAGCTTACCAACCAAAAAGAGTCCAGGACCAGATGGATTCACAGCTGAATTCTACCAGAGGTACATGGAGGAACTGGTACCATTCCTTCTGAAACTATTCCAATCAATAGAAAAAGAGGGAATCCTCCCTAACTCATTTTATGAGGCCAGCATCATCCTGATACCAAAGCTGGGCAGAGACACAACCAAAAAAGAGAATTCTAGACCAATATCCTTGATGAACATTGATGCAAAAATCCTCAATAAAATACTGGCAAACAGAATCCAGCAGCACATCAAAAAGCTTATCCACCATGATCAAGTGGGCTTCATCCCTGGGATGCAAGGCTGGTTCCATATACACAAATCAATAAATGTAATCCAGCATATAAACAGAAACAAAGACAAAAACCATATGATTATCTCAATAGATGCAGAAAAGGCCTTTGACAAAATTCAACAACGCTTCATGCTAAAAACTCTCAATAAATTAGGTATTGATGGGACATATTTCAAAATGATAACAGCTATCTACGACAAACCCACAGCCAATATCATACTGAATGGGCAAAAACTGGAAGCATTCCCTTTGAAAACTGGCACAAGACAGGGATGCCCTCTCTCACCACTCCTATTCAACATAGTTTTGGAAGTTCTGGCCAGGGCAATTAGGCAGGAGAAGGAAATAAAGGGTATTCAATTAGGAAAAGAGGAAGTCAAATTGTCCCTGTTTGCAGATGACATGGTATGTCTAGAAAACCCCATTGTCTCAGCCCAAAATCTCCTTAAGCTGATAAGCAACTTCAGCAAAGTCTCAGGATACAAAATCAATGTACAAAAATCACAAGCATTCTTATACACCAACAGACAAACAGAGAGCCAAATCATGAGTGAACTCCCATTCACAATTGCTTCAAAGAGAATAAAATACCTAGGAATCCAACTTACAAGGGATGTGAAAGACCTCTTCAAGGAGAACTACAAACCACTGCTCAAGGAAATAAAAGAGGATACAAGCAAATGGAAGAACATTCCATGCTCATGGATAGGAAGAATCAACATCGTGAAAATGGCCATATTGCCCAAGGTAATTTACAGATTCAATGCCATCCCCATCAAGCTACCAATGACTTTCTTCACAGAATTGGAAAAAACTACTTTAAAGTTCATGTGGAATAAAAAAAGAGCCCGCATCACCAAGTCAATCCTAAGCCAAAAGAACAAAGCTGGAGGCATCACACTACCTGACTTCAAACTATACTACAAGGCTACAGTAACCAAAACAGCATGGTACTGGTACCAAAACAGAGATATAGATCAATGGAACAGAACAGAGCCCTCAGAAATAATGCCACATATCTACAACCATCTGATCTTTAACAAACCTGAGAAAAACAAGCAATGGGGAAAGGATTCCCTATTTAATAAATGGTGCTGGGAAAACTGGCTAGCCATATGTAGAAAGCTGAAACTGGATCCCTTCCTTACACCTTATACAAAAATCAATTGAAGAGGGATTAAAGACTTAAACGTTAGACCTAAAACTATAAAAACCCTAGAAGAAAACCTAGGCTTTACCATTCAGGATATAGGCATGGGCAAGGACTTCATGTCTAAAACACCAAAAGCAATGGCAACAAAAGCCAAAATTGACAAATGAGATCTAATTAAACTAAAGAGCTTCTGCACAGCAAAAGAAACTACCATCAGAGTGAACAGGCAACCTACAAAATGGGAGAAAATTTTCGCAACCTACTCATCTGACAAAGGGCTAATATCCAGAATCTACAATGAACTCCAACAAATTTACAAGAAAAAAACAAACAACCCCATCAAAAAGTGGGCGAAGGACATGAACAGACACTTCTCAAAAGAAGACATTTATGCAGCCAAAAAACACATGAAAAAATGCTCACCATCACTGGCCATCAGAGAAATGCAAATCAAAACCACAATGAGATACCATCTGACACCATTTAGAATGGCAATCATTAAAAAGTCAGGAAACAACAGGCGCTGGAGAGGATGTGGAGAAATAGGAACACTTTTACACTGTTGGTGGGACTGTAAACTAGTTCAACCATTGTGGAAGTCAGTGTGGCGATTCCTCAGGGATCTAGAACTAGAAACACCATTTGACCCAGCCATCCCATTACTGGGTATATACCCAAAGGACTATAAATCATGCTGCTATAAAGACACATGCACACGTATGTTTATTGCGGCATTATTCACAATAGCAAAGACTTGGAACCAACCCAAATGTCCAACAATGATAGACTGGATTAAGAAAATGTGGCACATATACACCATGGAATACTATGAAGCCATAAAAAATGATAAGTTCATGTCCTTTGTAGGGACATGGATGAAATTGGAAATCATCATTCTCAGTAAACTATCGCAAGAACAAAAAACCAAACACCACATATTCTCACTCATAGGTGGGAATTGAACAATGAGAACACATGGACACAGGAAGGGGAACATCACACTCTGGGACCTGTTGTGGGGTGGGGGGAGAGGGGAGGGATAGCATTGGGAGATATACCTAATGCTAGATGACGAGTTAGTGGGTGCAGCACACCAGCATGGCACATGTATACATATGTAAGTAACCTGCACATTGTGCACATGTACCCTAAAACTTAAAGTATAATAATAAAAAAATAAAAATAAATTAAAAAAAAAGAAAGAAAATACTGTATCTATGCATAGAAAAAGCTGAAAAGCCATCCATCAAAATGTTAAGAATGTTTCTAGCAGCTTTTCTTGAAGGTAAGATAAGGAGCGACTTAAACTTTCCGCTATCTTTATTTATTTTATAATTTTTCTACCATGAATATGTATTACTTCCTAAATAAATTAAAAGCAGCAATGTGGGGGGAGGGACTGATGTTTTCTTAAAATTAGAAATCTAGTAGATTTTTAAAAAATGTGTCTAATACAGGTATATTTCTGTGGATGCGATTTGATTTGTAAAGTATTGGTTCTTTATGACAATTAAGATAGTTTAAATTTTTCTAAAAATAAAAACTCCATGACTAGTGATGCTAACTGGCTTATGACTAGGTTGAATTGGTATTTCTATTCTCATTTTAGCATCCTTTGTACAAGATGTTAGAAATTCTTCATTTTATAAAGAAGGTATATATACATGTTTGGATTAGTGCATCACAAAGTTGTATTAAAAAAATTCAGACAAAAAGTGGCTATGCAGGATCTATATTACTAATTTAATTATGATGGTACATCATGAGAAAGTTCCATTATTGTACCTTTCAAAAACACTGTAATAATTACTTCAGTATCTTACATGTAAGTAGGAGAGGAAAATTAGTGTGTGTGAATACATATCTCTTTGTATTTTAAGTCATTTCCTAAATCACTGAATACAGCCTTACTACCTACATATTGATTACTAAACTCTATCTCCAGATGACATCTTGCTCTTTAATTCCAGACTTGTATTTTACCCACTCTGCCTTAAACTAGTTGTGTGACTAAGGACAAGTTATTTAACCTCTCCGCATTTCAGTTTTCTCATTTGTAAAATACAGACAGCGGTGCCTAGTAATCCAACGTATCCCAAAACAGTATAATTTTATGCCTGCTCAAAACATCATCCTGCTGCATTTCTTTTCTAGACATTGTACTACAATTGTCCCTTTTCCCAAGGAATCCACTTACCCAAATTAGAAATCACGGTGTCATTACACTCTATTCTTCTTTTTCCCTCACCATCCAAAATACCTTCCCTCCTCAGCTTTGAAATATTAGTGACTTCTCTTACTAGATGGTAATTATCTTGAGAATGGGGACTGTGTTCTTTTTTAGAAATTCATAAAGTTCCTATACTCTTGACATCTAAGTATCCCTGGCATCTAGGAAAATTTTTGTCCTATGGTTAGGCACTCAATAAATGCATTTTGAATGTGTGTGTGTGTATGTGTGACATATATACATATTTTATACACATACAGAATAGCTTATAGCTTTGCCATGATTATAAAATTTTAGAAGTATATAAAGATTGTAGATCATCATGGAGGACAGAAAGCAGGACTAGATGTCAGCTCTAGACAGAGCAGCCTGCGGAGGCTTGCATTGTGAATTTTAGCTCCAGATCGACTGTAAGAAAAAGCCTACCAATCCCGAGAGGACCCACAGACCCTCTGAAGGAGTGGACTGCTCCTGCAGGACCTGGAAGACCCCCTTGCCAAATACCGTGGGTGCCCCAACTGCGGAAGTGGGAAAGGGAGAACCCCGCCTCTCCCAAACACACACCCCCACTGGAGAAGCTGAAGGTCTGTTTGTGGGAGAAGTTTCTGACTCTACCAGGAGCTGAGTCAATCTGGAGAGCCGAGCAAAATACAGGGGTAGGGGAAGCAGCAGAAAGGCCCTGGGAGCTCGCTGGGTGCCCAAGAAGGCCATTCCTGCCTGTACCACAGGGATCCAAAGGGAGGGCAGCCAGAGGAGCAGGGGCTAAAACTCCACAGGGAAAAGGAAATCTCTAGCTGAACTCTGCAAAAATTTGAACGAGGTGAGAAGCCTCCTGGCCAGAACTCGGGGAAGAGCGCAAATCCAGTGTGCAGACTCCACAGGCAGGGGAGAACCAAGCTCTTTTCTTTTGCACCTGGGAGGCGGGTAGCCTGTGGCAGGTTTTCAAGCCTGTCTCACCCTCTGCCTGGAAACAGACTTGGGCTGTTGGCAGGGGCATGGTGGGAGTGAGACTGGCCTTTTGGTTTGCATGTGAGCTGGGTGAAGCCTGTGACTGCCTGCTTTCCCCCACTTCCCTGACAATCTGCAGGTCTCAGCAGAGGCAGCCATAATCCTCCTAGGTACACAACTCCAGTGACCTGGGAATCTCACTCCTATCCCCAACAGCAGCCATAGCAAGACCCGCCCAAGGAGAGTCTGAGCTCAGACACGCCTAGCCCTGCCCCCACCTGATGGTCCTTCCCTACCCACCCTGGCAGCGGAAGACAAAGGGCATATAATCTTGGGAGTTCTAGGGTCCCGCCCACCACTGGTTCCTCCCCATACTACCACAGCTGATGCTCTCTGGAATGCGCCACCTCCTGGCAAGAGGCCAATCAGCACAAAAATAGAGCATTAAACCACCAAAGCTAACAACCCTCACAGAGTCCATTGCAACCCCTCACCCCCCTGCTACCTCCGCCAGAACAGGCGCTGGTATCCACGGCTGAGAGACCCATAGATGGCTCACATCACAGGACTCTGTGCACACACCCCCCCAGTAGAAGCCAAGAGCCAAGTAGACTCACTGAGTGGCTAGACCCAGAAGAGAGACAACAATCACTACAGCTAGGCTCACAGGAAGACACACCCATAGGAAAAGGGGGAGAGTACTACATCAAGGGAACACCCCGTGGGACAAAAGAATCTGAACAACAGCCATCAGCCCTAGACCTTCCCTCTGACAGAGGCTACCCAAATGAGAAGGAACCAGAAAACCAACCCTGGTAATATAACAAAGCAAGCCTCTTCAACACACCCAAAAAATCATACTAGCTCATGAGCAATGGATCCAAACCAAGAAGAAATCCCTGATTTACCTGAAAAAGAATTCAGGAGGTTAGTCATTACGCTAATCATGGAGGGACCAGAGAAAATTACAAGTTAAAAAGCAAAAATAAAAAACAAACAAATAACCAAAGTACACAGGCAACAAAGAGCACAATGAATGCAAGGGTACCTCACATTTCAATACTGACATTGAATGTAAATGGCCTAAAAGCTCCACTTAAATGATACAGAACTGCACAATGGATAAGAACTCACCAACCATCTTCTGCCTTCAGGAGACTCACCTAACACATAAGGACTCACATAAACTTAAAGTAAAGGGGTGGAAAAAGGCATTTCATGCAAATGGACACCAAAAGTGAGCAGGAGTAGCTATTCTTATATCAGACAAAACAAGCTTTAAAGCAACAGCAGGTAAAAGAGACAAAGAAGTACATTATACAATAGTAAAAGGCCTTTTCCAACAGGAAAATATCACAATCCTAAATGTATAAGCACCAAACACTGGAGCTCCCAAATGTATAAAACAATTACTAATAGACATAAGAAATGAGATAGACAGCAACACAATAATAGTTGCTGTGGGTGGGTGGGCTTCACTACTCCACTGACAGCACTAGAGAGGTCATCAAGACAGAAAGTCAACAAAGAAACAATGGATTTAAACTATACCTTGGAGCAAATGGGCTTAACAAATATATACAGAACATTTCATTCAACATCTGCAGGATACACATTCTATCCCACAGCACATGGAACTTTCTCCAAGATAGACCATATGATAGGCCATAAAATGAACCTCAATAAATTTAAGAAAATTGAAATTATATCAAGCACTCTCTCAGACTACATTGGAATAAAACTGGAAGTCAATTGCAAAAGGAACCTTCAAAACCATGCAAGTACATGGAAATTAAATAACCTGCTCCTTAATGAGCATTGAGTCAAAAACAAAATAATGATGGAAATAAAAAATTTTTCAAACTGAACAACAATAATGACACAACCTATCAAAACCTCTCGGATACAGCAAAGGCGGTGCTAAAAGGAAAGTTCATGGCCCTAAATACCTATATCAAAAAGACTGAAAGAGTACAAACTGACGTTCTAAGGTCATGCCTCAAGGCACTAGAGAAACAAGAACAAATCAAACACAGACCTAGCAGAAGAAAGAAAATCACCAAGATCAGAGCAGAATTAAATGAAATTGAAACAAAAAAATACAAAAGATAAATGAAACAAAAAGCTGGTTCTTTGAAAAGATAAATAAAATTGATAGACCATCAGCAAGATTAACCAAGAAAAGAAAATAGAAAATAACCTCACTAAGAAATGAAACGAGATATTACAACTGACACCACTGAAAACAAAAGATCGTTCAAGGCTACTATGAACACCTTTATGCATATAAACTAGAAAACCTAGATGAGATGGATAAATTCATGGAAAAATACAACCCTCCTAGCTTATTTCAGGAAGAATTAGATACGCTGAACAGACCAATAACAAGCAGGAATATTGAAATGATAATTAAAAAATTACCAACAAAAAAGAAGCTGAGGACCAGATGGATTCACAGAATTTTACCAGACATTCAAAGAATTGGTACCAATCCTTTTGACATTATTCCATAAGATAGAGAAAGAAGGAACCTTCCCTAATACATTCTATGAAGCCAGCATCACCCTCATACCAAAACCAGGAAAGGACATAATCAAAAAAGAAAACTACAGACCTATATTCTTGATGAACATAGATGCTAAAATCCTTAACAAAATACTAGCTAACTGAATCCAACAACATATCAAAAAGATAATCTATCATGATCAAGTGGGTTTCATACCAGGGATGCAGGGATGCTTTAACATATGCAAGTCAATAAATGTGGTACACCACATAAACAGAACTAAAAACACAAATCACATGATCATCTCAATAGATGCAGAAAAAGCATTCAATAAAATCCAGCACATCCCTTTATGATTAAAAATGTCAGCAAAATCGGCATACAAGGGACCTACCTTGATGTAATAAAAGCCATCTATGACAAACCCACAGCCAACATAGTACTGAATGAGAAAAACTTAAAAGCATTCCCTCTGAGAACTGGAACAGGACAAAGATGTCCACTCTCACCACTCCTCTTCAACATAGTACTGGAAGTCCTAGCTAGAGCAATCAGGAGAAAGAAATAAAGAGCATCCACATCGGTAAAGAGAAAGTCAAACTGTCACTGTTTGCTGATGATATGATCGTTTACCTTGAAAACCCTGAGGACTCCTCCAGAAAGTTCCTATGATTGATAAAAGAATTCAGCAAAGGTTCTAGATACAATATTAATGTACACAAATCAGTAACTCTTCTATATACCAACAGCAACCAAGTGGAGAATCAAATCAAGAACTCAATCCCTTTTACAATAGCTGAAAAACAAAATAAAAGTAAGTACTTAGGAATATATTCAACCAAGGAGTTGAAAGACCTTTACAAGGAAAACTACAAAACACTGCTGAAAGAAATCACAGATTACATGAACAAATGGAAACACATCCCATGCTCATGGATGGGTAGAATCAATATTGTGAATAATGACCATACTACCAAAAGCAATCTACAAACTCAATGCAATTCCCATCAAAATACCACCACCATTCTTCATAGAATTAGAAAAAAAATTCTAAAATTCATATGGAACCAAAAAAGAACCCACATAGCCAAAGTAAGACTAAGCAAAAAGAACAAATTTGGAGACATCACCCTATCTGATTTCAAACTATACTATATGGCCCTAGTCACCAAAACAGTGTGGTACTGGTATTAAAATAGGCACATAGACCAGTGGAACAGAATAGAGAACCCAGAAATAAACCCAAATACTTACAGCCAACTGATCTACGACAAAGCAAACAGAAATATAAAGTGGAGAAAGGACACCCTTTTCAACAAATGATGCTGGGATAACTGGCTAGCCACATGAAGGAGAATGAAATTGGATCCTCATCTCTCACCTTATACAAAAATCACTCAAGATGGATTAAGGACTAAAACCTAAGACCTGAAACTATAAAAACTCTGCAAGATAACTTTGGAAAAACCCTTCTAGATATTGGCTTAGGCAAGGATTTCATGACCATGAACTCAAAAGCAAATGCAACAAAAACAAAGATAAATAGCTGGGACCTAATTAAACTAAAGAGCTTTTGCACGGCAAAAGGAACAGTCAGCAGAGTAAGACAACCCACAGAGGAGGAGAAAATCTTCACAACCTATATATCTGACAAAGGACTAATATCCAGAATCTACAAACAACTCAAACAAATCAGTATGAAAAAAACCAAACAATCCCATCAAAAAGTGGGCTACGGACATGAATAGACCATTCTCAAAAGAAGATATACAAATGGCAACAAACATATGAAAATGCGCAACATCACTAATGATCAGCAAAATGCAAATCAAATAACAATGTGATACCACCTTACTCCTGCAAGAATGGCCATAATAAAAAAAATCAAAAAACAGTAGATGTTGGTGTGGATGCAGCAAACAGGGAACACTTCTACACTGCTGGTGGTAATATAAACTAGTACAGCCACTATGGAAAACAGCATGGAGATTCCTTAAGGAACTAAAAGTAGAACTACCATTTGATCCATCAATCCCACCACTGGGTATCTGCCCAGAGGAAAATAAGTTATTATTTGAAAAAGATACTTGCACACGCATGTTTATAGCAGCACAATTCGCAACTGCAAAATCGTGGAACCAACCCAAATGCTCATCAATCAAGTGGATAAAGAAACTGTGTTATACAAGGAAGATTTGTTTTGAAGACACCTTGAGAACTGTCAGTATGTAACTACCTTAGTTCCCTTTTTTTTTTTTTTGAGACGGAATCTCGCTCTGTCACCCAGGTTGGGGTGCAGTGGCATGATCTCAGCTCACTGCAACCTCCGCCTCCCAGGTTCACACCATTCTCCTGCCTCAGCCTCCTGAGTAGTGGGGACTACAGGCGCGTGCCACCACACCTGGCTAATTTTTTTGTATTTTTAGTAGAGACGGGGTTTCACCGTGTTAGCCCGGATGGTCTCTATCTCCTGACCTCGTGATCCGCCCACCTCGGCCTCCCAAAGTGCTAGGATTACAGGTGTGAGCCACTGTGCCCGGCCTTAGTTCGCTAAATTTTCGTCTTATATTCCACCCTGGGGATGAGAGGGAAAGGTGAAAAATTTGAATTCTTAACACTATCTGTAGTTTTTAGATTTAATAATCATCCCAGATTTTTTACTTTCAGCTAATCTCTTGCTTATATTTTCCAAGAATGCATGATAAATTATAGACAAATAAAAGCTCATTTTCTCAATTAAAAAAACCATGATATCTATCTATCTATCTATCTATCTATCTATCTATCTATCTATCTATTTATCTATGATGGAATACTACGCAGCCATAAAAAGGAATGCATTAACAGCATTTGTGATGACCTGGATGAGATTGGAGACTATTATTCTAAGTGAAGTAACTCAGGAATGGAAAACCAAACATCGTATATTCTCACTTATACGTGGGAGCTAAGCCATGAGGACGCAAAGGCATAAGAATGATATTGTGGACTTTGGGGACTTGTGGGGAAGAGTGGGAGGGGGTGAGGGATAACAGACAACAATATGGTGCAGTGTACACTGCTCAGGTGATGGGTGTTCCAAAATCTCACAAATCACCACTGAAGAACTTACTCATGTAATCAAATACCACCTGAACCCCAATAATTTATGGAAAAATAAAGAAGTATATAAAGATCATCATTCTAGTCAGGAAATAATCTTTCAAGCAGACCTTAGAAACATACATAGATGTCATTAATTATTATTTAATGCTGATGAGATTGTGGGAAATCCAGAATTCTCACACAGTATTGGTAACAGAATAAATTGCTACAACTCTTTAAAAGACATATTTTAAGAGTCATCAGATTTTTCAGATAATTTATCTGGATAGCTCCGACAATTTACAATGAAAACAAAAGGAAAATTGATATGCATAAAATGTTATTTATCCTTTTTTATGAGAAAAAATGGAAAACAATCTAAATACTGAATTATAGTTTCAAAATCTCAGTAGACTATTTCAGATCTATTAAAGTTATTATAATGACTACAGCAATATGAATAAATGTTTTTGTTATTTTAAAAAACTAGATGCTAGGATTACAATTATGTTAAAAAGTGTATATTTACATAAAAGGTGTGTGCTTTTTAAATAATAAATACTAAAAATGCAACTGAAGCTTGTACCCTTTAATGATTTCTGATATTGGAACGAATATTTAGTACAAAGTAGTTTTGATCAGACAAACATTGCACAAGACATTCAATTTTAAATAAGATTTTAAAAAACATATCTCAAAATGTCACATACCTTTGGATATACTTCAAATATGGTGTATAGTCTATTACAGCAGGAAAACTGCCATCCAGCCCCTCTCCCTTTAGGCAGAAACTAAGACAATAGAAAATAAATATTTCCTATTAATATATAAAATTTTAAATCAAAGTTAAGTTTCATGAAAAATCTCTTGCCAGAGACGTTTCTCTCATCAAATGGCAAGCGAATTTTTTTGTTTGCAATTTAATTGTTACTTGTCAGAAATAAACGCCTGAATAAAATATTCTACCTTCAATACCAATGACAAGGCATTGTACAAATTAATACACTATCAATGGGTTACATTAAACCAACAGTTAACATTCTTAATCCCAGTTTTTTTGTTTGTTTTTTTTTTTCTTTTTTTTTGAGAGGGAGTCTTGCTCTGTCACCCAGGCTGGAGTGCTGTGGCATGATCTTGGCTCACTGCAGCCTCTGCCTCCCGGGTTCCAGCGATTCTCCTGCCTCAGCCTCCTGGGTAGCTGGGATTACAGGCACCCACTACCATGCCTGGGTAATTTTTGTATTTTTAGTAGAGACAGGGTTTCGCCACGTTGGCCAGGCTGGTCTTGAACTCCTGACCTCAGGTGATCTGCCCGCCTCAGCCTCCTAAAGTGTTGGGATTACAGGTGAAAGCCACCGCGCCTGGCCTTGTTTTTTTTAAAACAATAAAACAACAAACAAACAAAACAAGACTGTAACAAATTTAGACAGAGCTAGTGACGTGATATAAAAAGTTAACATCCATAGAGGGATCAAAAAGACAACCTTCACATTCCATCTATCATGTTCATCCTCCACAATTAAGCTAATTAAACCTAATACTAGCTTATTAAATTTTAATAAAGTTAGACTTGTCAAGTGACAAATATTTAGAAAAGGAAGTGCTTTACTATAAAAGATAACTTCAGTGAAAACGAACAGCATTATTTTTATCAAGACTCAAAAGTAGAATTTCATTTGTCTTATACTTATTTTGTTAATATTCCTGAATTTTCAAATGTTATATTTCAATAAAAATATAATATTTCCTTCATTCCTTGTGTTTGAGTTTTCTTATAGACAAACCTTTTACTTTCAATATAATGTAAAATCTGGGATCGATTAAAGAAATGCAAAAAAAGTGTCTATAAATCTAAAAAGAACTTGTATTGCCCATTTTTAGCACTTGTTATTTTAGTGTAGAACCAGTTCATCTTGTTGACAATAAAAGTAAATTTTAACAATTTTTTTTTTTAATATTCTCCATACATAACATAAGAGACGTAAGATACCCAAGATAGCCTCTCAGGATCTTATCTCAACACGTGAGATAATGAGAATCTTTCTGGCTTTGAAACTACTTTAAGTCTATTTCTTTTAATTTTAAAGCAGTAGCTGAAAAATACTAAGAGATAAGATTCAAAGCCTTCCTTCATTAGGGAGGGGGCTGTTGGGGAATGGGATATAGTCTAAGTTTTCTTTTTATCCAAGCTACAGAGCAAGCCTATCAATTCATTAAGTTTCAGGCAGTCTCTTTTCTGAGAGCAAACTCATTTAGAAAACAAACTGATGTCATTTGAAAGAGAACAACATGAATCAAATAACAATATCCAACTGTGTGCTTTACTTAGACAACTGAAAGAAAAAAATCATAAGTAGAAACTATTAAGATATAGAATAATTTAAAAACTGAATGCATTTGGTTAAGTACCTGAAATCAATAGCATTGAGTCCTAGAAGCATGCCAGCAAGCATATTTGCTTCTTCACCCAAGACAATTGCTCCATCTTCATAAAATCTCCTAAAAAATGAAATGGGTGAATATATAAAATATTAAAAATAAATGGAAGTTTGATCGAGAGAAATCATTTAGAGCCCAAACTATTGTAGGAAGAGCTAAATTTTATTTAATTTGTATTTTTAAAAAAAACATATTTCCATCACTGAAGTTTTGAAGATATTTAGACCAAAATAAAGAGACAAAACAACAACAACAAATCCCTGAAGAAACTAAAACCTGCCAATATAACAAAAAGAATTCTCTGTTTCCAGCTCTCCTAAAAAGAAACCCCCAAGTGAGTCTTTCAATGGGTCTAGAGTGCCAGCATTTTTCCTTAATAGTGAAGCAATATAAATGTAAAGTGAAAGGTGGCAAATTCAGAGTCATCTGTATTTACCTATTTTCAAAATGAAGTAGACTTGAGTTCTAATAAATAAGATAAAATTAAGTTCTGTTTTTCTATAATTGCAAAGATTACTGAGTAAGTTAAGAATTTGGGAGGCATACTTGTTAGTAATTTATGGTAACCTTAATAGTGCAATCCTAATAAAGCAGATGGGCTACCAAGGTGGCTGCATATGAAAAAGAAAGTATTCAATATCTCCTTGACAAAAATGGGAATGTGAATGTATCTTTGTTAATTCCTGTAAAGCTTTACATTTTAGTTATCATTAGTTTTTAAAATATTTTTGAAAGAAAAATCATTATGTGGCCCTAAGGTATTTTTCCAAAAATGAATGTAAAATCATTTAATCTACTTCTTTTAAAACGTAGTACTATGTAAAATCTAGTTTATATCAGTAACCAGGGATGATCACACTGCTATAAGTATTTATATTACATATAAGAGAGTGAACACCACTCTATACCACCCCATTAACTAAAATGAAACATTTTAGTAAATCAAAGGTCTTGCTCTTTTCAGTATTTCTGAGTTTATAAATTCTGCAAAAAATTTCAATATGCTCATAATCCTACCATCAATTTTGAATTGTTGTTCACAGCTTACTAAGTATTTTTACAAACATATTACTTGATACTTGCAAAAAAACCCATAAATTAAAGGCAGAAGGAATCATTAGTTTCAAATTTACCATCAGGAAAAGTTTAAAACAATTTGCACAAGCTCATGTTAGATGAATTGCTTAAGAAGGCTACCCAATTCTTCTTTAAGTCCTATATCTTCTATTAAATCTACGTTTCGTAAAACAAAAATATTTTAAAAGAACTTAATGTATGGTATGGTTCATAAGGAATATTAAATGAATAAAAAGTACAAAATGGAAAAAATAGTCAACTATTTACTCTCTGACAGATGTAAGGCTGCAAACAAATACAGTGGGGAGACTGGCTTGGAATAAATGTTTTTTATTTTCTTGGACCTACTGAAATTGCTTTTACTGATTTATATAAAAGGAGAAAAATGAAAACTTCTGGCCTAACAAAATTAGTAAAATAAATGGAAGGATTTTTTTACATATTCTACTGAGGTGTCCTGCAGAAAGGTAAAATATTTAGACAAATATGTATGTTTGAGACTTTGTCCCTGGTCCAATAACTAAGTTGGCTATTGGCAGAATATATTATTAACCCCTGGAAGAACTATGCTTCTAATGGTTTCAGACCACTAAATTCTATGAGACATATGAATTTGGAAAAGAATCTTGTTTTTTTGATACTGCCAATAACCCATTATTCCTAGTACTTCTTATATAAGAAAAGGTCTACTTCTTTTATTCCTCATCTTGAACCTACCATTGTTTAAAAAATACATTCTAAAAATCAGCTCAAAACTATTCTTGCTTGCTTTCTAATGGCACCTTTGTACTAGGGAGTGTTGAAGAACACCACGGCAAAAAATTAACTGGTTTGAGAAATTTTTTAAAAACTAAAGGTCTTTTATGTGTGTGCATATAATAATGTTTTAATGAGTTTTTCACTTTAGTTTTACTCATTAGTAAATAAGTAAATTTTCTAAGCGAATGATTTAAGATAAGTAAAATGGTTGCTATATGTAAAATCAATAATTCCACTGAAAAAAATCATATCTTAAGTGTAAGATATGATTTAATATAACAGCAAAAGAGGAAAGGAAAAATGGAAGAGGAAGGGCTAGTTAAGAGGATTGCCCATTATATGCTGAACTTTTAAATTATTAGTTCTGGTTAAGAAAAACATTATTTTTCAGAAGATGTACTTCTGAGCTTAAGATAATATATTTTAAAGTAATTCAGTATTTAGAAAACTGAAACGATCTGAGAAGATAATATTTTTATCATTTAATCAAAGACTTCATTCATGTGTATGAAAGAGGTAGAAGCTGTCTCGAAAAATTAATTTCTTCTCTTATGCAAACTAATATATCAATAATTAGACTAAAAATCTGATTCCTGTGGTCAATACTTTCAAATATTCCAAAAGATGGTAAAATTTCAACCTTTTCATTTTACCTCATTGAAAAATTGGAACATTAAACTTTGCTTATATAACCAAGATCATAAAATAAATGAGCCAGGAGTAAAGCCTGAGATGACTAATCCAATAATAGTAAGGTATATACTTAAAATTCCCTTTTTTCAGTTAAAAATATTTTTTGTTCTAAAGAAAATTTTTATGCCAGGCCTGGTGGCTCATGCCTGTAATCCCAGCACTTCTGGAGCCTTAACAGGCAGATCATTTGAGCCCAGGAGTTAGAGATCAGCCTGGGCAACATGGTGAAACCCACCTATACAAAAAATACAAAAAAATTAGCCAGACGTGGTGGCACATGCCTGCAGTCCCAGCTACTTGGGAGGCTGAGGTGAGAGGATGGCTTGAGTCAGGAAGACAGAGGTTGAAGTGAGCTGAGATGGTCCCACTGCACTCCAGCCTGGGTGACAGAGCAAAACCCTTTCTCAAAAAAAAAAAAAAAAAAAAAAAAAATATATATATATATATATATATATATATATATATAGGTATATATATACACACATACATATATATAACATATATAAATATAAATATATATAATACATATATGTATATGTATAAATGAGAAGAATCTAACCAAAACATTGTACTGCTTAAGTTCAACATATTATAAATGTTGAAAGTACCAAAGTAAAAAATACATATGAAACTTCCATTTAAAGATTTTTATATTAGAGACTATACCTTTAAATATAGTTTTATATTACAGAAGTGAGGAAAAATTACAAGCAACTATTTGATACTACTGTGATCTGGGAAAAAAACTTCCTGATCTTATTAGGTATACCACCGTTTCCAAGTATTTATATGTTGATTAGAAAAACATTAGTGACTAGAAAAGTATTTAAAATAATGCCCTTATAAGAATATGCTTTTCTTTTACCACATATAATTTAACTCTAATTGAAATATATTCCTATAATGCCACCTTGGTGTCCATTCTGTAAGAATATTTTAAGGAATTTTAAGTAGTTCAATAACAAATATCCTCTGGATGGGATCCAAGGTGAATAATAAATATAAATTATGTTGATACTATCTAATGTGATGTTTCAAATTTTCCTTTTGTGGGAGTCAGAAGTTATCCTACATATTTGAAAGCACAATATTAAAATATGAGAAAGCTTGTCTTATAAACCAAAGAAATTTCATTATTGGCATGCTTGTTCTCTTCCCCCAATTTAATGTAAGAAACTACTGAAAGGGGATATAAGAAAATTCTCCCTCATGACATATAAAACAGATCCCTGCATTATAAACAGATGTTATATTCAAAGTCAAATTGAATCAAAATGAAAAACTGATGAAAAAGTCAACCTCCAAAGGTCTTGCCAAGAATGTGAGATTCAGTAATTATTTTAATAAACAAATATTTATTAAATTCCTTTTATGTGACAAGAACTGTGCGAGGTACTATAGTTACAATGGTAAATAAGTTAGATTTAGATCCTCTCTATGAAGCATATAGTCTAGGGGAATAGAAAAGCAAGAAACAAAAGACAAAGATAATTACAGATGATGATAAATATAAAGTAAATAAAGAGGTTGTTGAGATAGAGACAAATGGAAGGAAAGCCCAACTTTGGAAAGTCATTAAGTAAGGCATTCTCAAGTATTTAACCTGATACCTTAGCCCACAGATGTCTGATCACACAGGGCTTTGCAGGCCACAGAACATTAATAATAATAATAACACTTCTTGAGTGGCAGGCATAGTAATAACTTTACATGAGTCATCTTCTTAACTTTGCCGCTACATATTATTCTCCAGAGAGATTAAGCAATTTGTCCAAGATAGACACAGCTAGAGTAGGGAAACCAGGATCTGACTCCAGGAAATGTGACAGCCACAGAGCCTTCTGGCTAATGTAATAAGAAATCATTTCAATGTTTTAAGTAGGAGCTGACATAATCTCTTTTACTTTTAAGATCAGCTGGAAGCTAGATGGCTACTGAAAGGGGGCAAACTGGAAGGTCAGGAGGCCAACAGGTGAGCCTTAGGCAACAGATAAAAGAGGTCTAGATGACTGTAAGAGCCATGGAGATAAAGGTAAATAAATAGATTCAAAATAGATTTGGAGGTAGGATCAATAAGACTTGCTTATGGATTAATTACAGGGAATGAGGGAGAAAGAGGAATCAGGTATGACTTTTAGATTCTTGCTTAATCAACTATGTAGGTGGGCAGTGATAACATTTGCTAAGAAAGGGTGAACAGAGTTACAGGGGAAAAAAAATTAGTATATCTGAACTATCTAGCTAGAGGTTTAAATGTGGTATCATGGTCATATGGATGGTATTTCAAGCCAGGGGAATGGACGAAACTCCAGGAAGAGAGAATACAGAGAAAAATGAACAGAGGAAAAAAAGCAGAAAATGCAGGACTGAGCCCAGAGAATATGAACAGTCAGATGTTAAGTGGAAAAGATGACAGAAAAAGAGACAGAGCGATTAAGGAAAAGCCATGGAATGTTGTATAACTTAAAGGTGAAGAGATTTTTTCAAGAACGATGAAGTAGTCAACTTCTACTGGAAGTAGCTGGGAGATGGAGTACAGTATGGACAGAGAAATATCCATTACATTGGGTAGCTTGTAGATTATTGGTATTCTTTTAAAAATTCTTGGTGGAGTGATGAGGGGCAGAAGCCAGACAAGAGTGGGTAAGAGAGTGACTCTAAAGTAAGAAAATGATGACAGTGTGAAGAAGTGCTTTGGAGAAGTCTGGTGATGAAGTGTAATCATGAAATTAGCATTGGTAGAGGGGAATTATAGGTTCAATGGAGAATCTTTTTTTTAAGGTAGGAGGTACTGGTATATGTTCTATAAGGGTAGGATTGATCCAGCAATAGTAAAGAGATTGAGGATGAGGAGACAGAAAGTTGGTAACTAAAGGAAGAAGGGAATCATATGCTACCTGGTCTTTTGTGACTGGCTTCTTTGCTAAGCTTAGCAGGTTTTCAAGGTTCATCCATGTGGCAGCATGGATCAGTACTACATTTCTTTTTATGCCTGAATAACATTCCACTGTATGGATATAGACACACATGCACCTAGGAGTCATGTGCTGGGTCATATGGTAACTCTATGTTTAACCTTTTGAAAAATTGCCAGACTGTTTTTCAAAGTGACTGCACAATTTTCTTTTCCCACCAGCAATGTATGAAAGATTCAGTTTTTCAAAATCCTCACCAAGATTTGTTATTAAGTGATCTTTTGAACATACCCATCCTAGTTAGTATGCAGTGTTATTTCATTGTGGTTTTGTATTTCCCTGATGGCTAATGATGTCAAACAACATTTTAGTGTTTATTAGCCATCTGTATACCCCCCTTGGAGAAGTGTCTATTCAGATTCATTGCCCATTTTTAAATGAGTTGTCTTTTTATTACTGAGTTGTAAAAGTTCTTCATATACATTGTAGATACAAAACCCTTATCGCAGGGGTCCCCACCCCCTGGGCCATGAACCAGAACCTGTCCGTGGCCTGTTAGGAACTGGAGCTGCAGGGCAGGAGGTGAGTGGTGGGCCAGTGAACATTATCACCTAAGCTCCGACTCCTTCACTCAGGCATTAGATTCTCACAGGAGTAAGAACCCTACTGTGAACTGCACATGTTAAAGATCTAGGTTGCATGCTCCTTATGATACTCTAACTAATGCCTGATGATCTGAGGTGGAACAGTTTCATCCTGAAACCATTCCCTGCCACCACGGTCCGTGGAAACACTGTCTTCCACAAAACCAGTCCCTGTTGCCAAAAAGGTTGGGGACCGCTGCCTTATCAGATTATGATCTGTAAAAATTGTCTCCTATTCTGTTTGTCATCTTTTCACCTTCTTTATGGTGTCCTCTGAAACACAAAGTTTTAATTTTTATTATGTTCAATTTATCTTAATAGTGTAAAACTTTAATACATACTTGCAGGGAGACCCCTTGAAACTATTGCTACAGAATAAAAGATGAAATGCTCCTAATTATTGTAAATACAAAATTCCATGCAGGATTGTGTAAAGACAATGCCAGGTTGGACTGCCAGAACGAGCCAACAGCACATGATGTGCTTCCCCCTGCAGAGAGCCTATGAATGGACGTACAGTCAGGGAGGTTTCACATCACCAAGATTCCCATCCCAGAAAAGCAGATGTTCATAGCTCTAGGAATGGAATGCGACCTTTGTGGAGAGCCTATAAACAGACGCATGGGGGGGCGCCTGTCCATATGGATAAGATAGGGCTATAAACGTCCTCATCTTGCCATGGCTCTTCTAGGCCTCTTTAGGGTTAAGGCATACTCCTTTCTGAGAATTTCTGGTCTAACCGGTTGTCTAGCTTCACATCCTGTTTCCATGGATTGTTTGTAACCAGCTTTTGTTGCAATTGTTACTGCTGATTAATATCTTGTTAATCATACGTTATGGAAAGATTGTGTTTCTGTTTTAAGGCTCTGTTAGAAATTACACACACATTATACTGTAAATTCTTATCTCTGTATACTGTACTTCTCCATACAAATGTACTGTACTTCTACATACAAATGTTATGTTAAAGAATTACTTCATCCCCATGTGACCATCTCACCTCATAATCAAATGACCCTAAATCCCTCACTAACCTACCCCCGCCCTCACTAAACTTAATAATAAATGCTGGTATATCTAGTGCATTGTTGGCACCACGGGACCAGAAGGCAGTGACCCCCCTGGACCCAGCTTTCACTATCTTGTGTGTGTCTGTTATTTCTCAATCTGCTGATCTGCCTAACAACAGAGAGCCCCGTTGCATTGCAGGCTGCTGGCCAGATCCTGCAATATCTGGTGCCCAATGTGGCCTTCTTTGTTCCTTGGCTCAGTGCACTCCAAGTGCCGTTTGTGATGACTAGTCTTCAGTCTTGAAGGTAAGGTCTCCAAGTACGCTTTTTCCGACTCTCCCCTCTTTTCAGGTTTTATTATTTCTTTCCTTTACTGATTTTGGGTTTACTTTGCTCTTTCTTTTCTAGTTCTTTAAGATATATCATTAAGTAGTTTTTTCAAGTTTTTCTACTTTTTTGATTGAAGCACTTCTTGCTATAAACATTCTAAGTACTGCTTTTGAGGAATACCACAGGTTTTGATATGTTGTGTTTCCATGTGCATTTGTTTGTTTTTTTAAATTTTCTTCTTAAATTTTGCACTGACCCACTAGTTATTTGAGAGAATATTATTTAATTTCCATGTGTTTGCATAGTTTCCAAAATTTCTCTGTTATTGATTTCTAGTTTTACCGCCTTGTAGTCAGAAAAGTTATTTAATATAGTTTCAATAATTTTGGAATTTTTAAGGCTAGCTTTGTGACATAACATACCCTTCAAAATGATCCATGGGCTGAGGAGAAGAATGTGAATTCTGCAGTCATTGGATAAAATATTCTGTGCAACATCTATTAGGTCCATTTGGTCTATAGTCCACCTCCAACCCGATGTTTCATTGTTGATTTTCTGTCTGTATGATCTTTCCAATGCTGAAATGTGGTGTTGAAATCCCCAGCTATTATTTTATTGAGGTCTAGCTCTCTCTTTAGCTCTAATAATATTTGCTTTATATAATCTGTGTGCTCCATTGTTGGGTGCACATGTATTTACAATTGTTATATTCTCTTGCTGAGCTGACCCCTTTATCATTATATTCTGACATTTGCCTCTTTTTATAGTCTTTGTCTTAAAATCTGTTTTGTCCGATATAAATACAGACAACTTTTTTTCTATGTTTGGTTCCATTGGCATGGAATATCTTTTTCCATCCTTCTATTTTTAGTGGATGTATGTCTTTATAGCTGAAATATGTTTCTTGTAGGCAACATAATTTTGGGGCCTTGGTTTTCTTCATCCATTTCTCCTCTTTATGTCTTTTGATTGGAGAGTTTAGTCCATTTTCATTCAATGTTATTATTGATAAATAGGAATTGACTCCTGCCATTTTTTAATTTGTTTTCTGGTTGTTTTGTGATGTTTTCTTCCTTCTTGTCTTTATTTTAATGAAGGATATTTTTATTGTGATAAGCCTTAATTTATTGTTTTATATTTTGTGTATATCTCTGTCTGTCTGGAATTGGTCACTGACATCTTATATAGTTCATTCGGTGAGATCATATTTTCCTGGATGGTCTTGATGCCTGTGGATGTCCATTGTTTTTTTTTCTTGGCATTGAAGAGTTAGATATTGATTGTAATTTTTGCAGTCTTGGATTGTTTATACATGTCCTTGGCAAGTTTTTCCAAGTATTAAAAAGGACTTGGGTGTTGGGACCTTAGTCTTTGGTCACTGTAGCCACGTAGGCATCAGGAAGCACCCCATGCACAAAAATACTGTGGCTCTTTCAGACTTATACAGGTACTGTCTTGGTGCTCTTAGGTAAGATATGGGAAAATGTCCTGGGATATCAGGTGGAAACTCTTGTTCTTTTCCTTTACTTCCCCCCAACCAAACAAAGTGTCTGTCTCTCTGTGCTGAGCTGCCTGGACCTGGGGTATGGGTGACACATGCACCCCTGTGAGCACCAGTATTGGGACTGTGCTGAGTCAGATCCAAAGTCAGCACAACACTTGGTCTTGCCCAAGGCTTAAGGTGGCTACTGCCTGGCTACCACTTATGTTTTCTCAAGGCCCAAGGGCTCTACAATCAGCAGATGGCAAATTCCACCAGGTCTGTGTCCTTCCCTTCAGGGACATGAATTGTCTTCAGCCCTGGTTGGGTCCAGAGATGCCTTCTGATAGACAGAACCTCGTGAAAGGAAGCATGGGAATCTACCTGGTGCTCTATTCTACTGTGGCTGAGCTGGCACGCACACTGTAAGACAAAGTCCTTTCCACTCTTCCTCCCCTTTTCCTCAAGCAGAAGAGTCTCTTCTCATGGCCACCACCATCCCAGGTCTGTGGCAATTACTGCCTGGTTACTGCCAATGTTCACTAAGGGGCCACTGAATCCTGCCTGGTCTGATTCTCTCTCTTCAGGTCAGCAGGCTCTCCTCTCACCTAGGGCAGGCCCAGAAATGCTGTCCAAGAGCCAGGGCCTAGAACTGGGGACCCCATGAACCTACTTGTTTCTCTACATCACTGTGGCTGAGCTAGGAACTAATCTCTAAGACAAAGTCCCCTGCATTCATTCTCTGTTTCTCAACCAGAAGGAGTCTCTCCCCATGGTTCCCACAGATGAGAATGTGCAGGGTCACTCCTGAAGCCAGCATGGCCCTGGGTCTCACTCAAGGCCTGTGGTGAGAACTGCCTGGGTACCACTGATGTTTATTGAAGGCCCAAGGGCTCTTAAGTCTGCAAATGATAAATCTTGCTGGGACTGGATCTTTCCTTTCAAGGCAATGGGTACCCTTCTGGCCCAGGCTGTGTCTAGAAATGTCAACCAGGAGCTAGGGCCTGGAATGGGGGCCTCAAAGACTGTTCCTGATACCCTATTCTTCCGTAGCTATGCTGATGTCCAAGTTTCAATACAAAGTCCTCTTTACTCTCCCCTCTCCTCTCCTTAGGTGGAGGGAAGGAGTCTCTTCCAGAGCTGCAAACTGTGCTGCCTGTGTTTGGGGCAGCGATGATGCAAGCACTCTCTTGGCTGCACTAGCTGGTGTTTCACTAGGTCATCTCCACCGAATATCCACTAACTTCAAGCCCAGCACATCACCAGGACTTGTCCAGGAATTGAAGTCTCTTTGGCCTAGACTGCTTTTTAAATTTATTTAAGACCCCCAAGAACTTTAGCCCATACTGGTAGGTCTTGCCTGAACTCAGGCTCCTACCACTGAAATGGAGAATTTGCCTCTGGCTAGAGAAGCTCCCTCTGTAGGCACTGGCTGAGTTATGCCCTGTGTTGCTTTCTGCTGTGACAGGGCAGTACTGAGTTCCAACGTCAAGTCGCACAATTACTGTTTGCTGCCTCCCCTGAATGCACAGATTTTCTTTCCATACCACTCAGCCATTGCTGGGGGATGAAGGAGGGCTGGTGTAGGTGATTCAAGATTGTCTTTCCCTCTTCAGTGCCTCTTTCCTTAATATAATGTTAAAACCACACACTGCGATTGCACTTCTGATTTTTGGTTCTTCTGGAGGTGTTTTTTTTTGTTCGGATAGTTCTTCAATTTGGTGTTCCTATAGGGAGGACAATTGTTGGAGCCTTCTTTTCATCCATCTTGCCCCACTTTCCTCAGTTATTATATATTATTGGCCTTCCTCAAATAGTAAGGTGTAAAATAGCATATTTTCATACATGGAAGTTATTATATTGAAAAATAGCAAACTTTAATAAGATAGACAGATTTTTAAAAAGGAAAAATGTCTTTGTGGATAGACAAGATGGACAAATTAATGAAAATAAAATTGGTGAAAAACAGCCCTCATGAATAGAAAAATTAAAGGAGTCAAAAGGAAAGAAGGCAAGTTTATTAGTCATTAGAGTCCCTGAAGAAAGAGAAGGAAGACCACATCACCTCCATCTGGAGATATGCGAAAATCTCACGAGGGGGTGACATTTGAACTTGGAACAGGAGGAATGACTACCAATTTTTTAGGTAGAAAAGATGTAGTAGGTAGCATAATGCCTTCTAAAATATATCCATGCCCTGACTTGTAAATATGCTACTGAAAATGAAAAAGGGACTTTGCAAATGGCATTAAATTAAATATCTAAAATGGATATTATCCCACCATATGGGTCTGATGTAATCAAGAACCCCAGAGAGAAGTGAGAGGATCAGCCTCAGAGAAGAAGATGTGACAAAAGAGGCAGAGGTTGAATTGTTGCAGGGCCATGAGCCAAGTAATGCATACATCTTCTAGAAACTGGAAGAGGCAAGAAATTAATTCTCCCCTAGAATCTCAAGAGGAACTGCTGTCCTGCTGACCCATCTCAGACTTCTTCAGAATTGGAAAATAATAATTGGTATTGTTTTTAAGCCACTAAGTTTGTGATAGTTTGTTACAGGTAACAATAGGAAACTAACACAGATGGAGAAAGACATCCGAAGAATCTGAAAAATGCAAAACTTGATGTACAGCCTATTCAGAGAATGAGAGAAAGTTTGAAGTGTTTTGACTCTATGGTATTGCAGAAGAAGGTCTGGAGAAGAGATTTGTATAAATCAAAACAGGAAATGTTACTTAAAGCCAGACAAAGGATCTTGTATGAATTTTATAGCAGATTTCTATCATAGAAAATAATTTTAGCAGTAATGAGCTGCAAACACTGGAGTTATAAGACTAAGAAGATTTTTATATTCTATATAATTTTATTGTAATCTGGTCATATAAGCCCTTCACAAATGCTTAAATTAGATGAATAGAAGAAGATAGGTTTAGTTAACTTTAATAATATTCTCTGCTATACTTTTTCCTTTGCTCATAATGATTCCTCATTTCCTCTTCTTTTATATAAAAATGAGCATAATGAATCATTATAATAAGAGTAGAAGTATACTGTAATTTTTCCTAGGAAGCTTACCGTATGGTACTTGTCTCTTTGTTACTTAATTTAACTTGATCTGTCAAATATCAGACTTGTAAGAGCTCATGTGTCATACTCATTACAGTGTCATATTCTTTTAAGGATCTAATCCCAAAGAGACATGCATCCTCTTGATAAGATAAAAAATATTTTTATATGCCACAACTAAGAAATAAAAACTCAATACACGCTCAAGGAATAAAAGGTATTTTAAAATAGTATTGCAGATTTTTTTTCCTAGTCGATCTTTGTTTTAGAAATTCATCTGGGAAAAAAATGTAGCTAATGACAGATGCATGCAATCAGGTATTTAATTTGCCTACTCATAAAAATGAATAACTTAACAATTTCTCCAATGTAATTTACAAAAGTAAATAACATTGATACAAACATTAATAATCAAAGAAATACAAATAAGCACAATTGGATTACTAAAGTGAACTATTTTAAAAAGTATCTAATTTTAAAAATATCACATTAAAGGCCTTTTCTGCATCCATGAGATAATCATGTGGTTTTTATCTTTGTTTCTGTTAATATGCTGGATTACGTTTATTGATTTGCATATGTTGAACCAGCCTTGCATCCCAGGAAGGTATTGATGGGACGTAACTCAAAATAATAAGAGATATTTATGACAAACCCACAGCGAATATCATACTGAATGGGCAAAAACTGGAAGCATTCCCTTTGAAAACTGGCACAAGACAGGGATGCCCTCTCTCACCACTCCTATTCAACATAGTGTTGGGATTTCTGGCCAGGGCAATCAGGCAAATGAAAGAAATAAAGGGTATTCAATCAGGAAAAGAGGAAATCAAATTGTCCCTGTTTGCAGATGACATGATTGTATATTTAGAAAACCCCATCATCTCAGCCCAAAATCTCCTTAAGCTGATAAGCAACTTCAGCAAAGTCTCAGGATACAAAATCAATGTGCAAAAATCACAAGCATTCTTATACACCAATAACAGACAAACAGAGAGCCAAATCATGAGTGAACTCCCATTCACAATTGCTTCAAAGAGAATAAAATACTTAGGAATCCAACTTACAAGGGATGTGAAGGACCTCTTCAAGGAGAGGTCAACTGCTCAAGAAAATAAAAGAGGACACAAACAAATGGAAGAACATTCCATGCTCATGGATAGGAAGAATCAATATCCTGAAAATGGCCATACAGCCCAAGGTAATTTATAGATTCAATGCCATCCCCATCAAGCTACCAATGACTTTCTTCACAGAATTGGAAAAAACTACTTTAAAGTTCATATGGAATCAAAAAAGAGCCTGCATTGCCAAGACAATCCTAAGCCAAAAGAACAAAGCTGGAGGCATCACACTACCTGACTTCAAACTATACTACAATGCTACAGTAACCAAAACAGCATGGTACTGGTACCAAAACAGATATATAGACCAATGGAACAGAACAGAGCCCTCAGAAATAATGCCGCATATCTACAACCATCTGATCTTTGACGAACCTGACAAAAACCAGCAATGGGGAAAGGATTCCCTATTTAATAAATGGTGCTGGGAAAACTGGCTAGCCATATGTAGAAAGCTGAAACTGGATCCCTTCCTTACACCTTATACACAAATTAATTCAAGATGGATTAAAGACTTAAATGTTAGACCTAAAACCACAAAAACCCTAGAGGAAAACCTAGGCAGTACCATTCAGGACATAGGCATGGGCAAGGACTTCATGTCTAAACCACCAAAAGCAATGGCAACAAAAGCCAAAATTGACAAATGGGATCTAATTAAACTAAAGAGCTTCTGCACAGCAAAAGAAACTATCATCAGAGTGAACAGGCAACCTACAGAATGGGAGAACATTTTTGCAATCTACTCATCTGACAAAGGGCTAATATCCAGAATCTACAAAGAACTCAGGCAAATTTACAAGAAAAAAATAAACAACCCCAACAAAAAGTGGGCAAAGGATATGAACAGACACTTCTCAAAAGAAGACATTTATGCAGCCAACAGACACATGAAAAAATGCTCATCATCACTGGCCATCAGAGAAATGCAAATCAAAACCACAGTGAGGTACCATCTCACACCAGTTAGAATGGCGATTATTAAAAGGTCAGGAAACAACAGGTGCTGGAGAGGATGTGGAGAAATAGGAACACTTTTACACTGTTGGTGGGACGGTAAACTAGTTCAACCATTGTGGAAGTCAGTGTGGCAATTCCTCAAGGATCTAGAACTAGAAATACCATTTGACCCAGCCATCCCATTACTGGGTATATACCCAAAGGATTATAAATCATGCTGCTATAAAGACACATGCACACATATGTTTATTGTGGCACTATTCACAATAGCAAAGAGTTGGAACTAACCCAAATGTCCAACAATGATAGACTGGATTAAGAAAATGTGGCACACATACACCATGGAATACTATGCAGCCACAAAAAAGGATGAGTTCATGTCCTTTGTAGGGACATGGATGAAGCTGGAAACCATCATTCTCACCAAACTATCACAAGAACATAAAACCAAACACCGCATGTTCTCACTTATAGGTGCGAATTGAACAATGAGAATGCTTGGACACAGGAAGGAGAACATCACACACCGGGGCCTGTTGTGGGGTGCGGGGAGTGGGGAGGGAAAGCATTAGGAGATATACCTAATGTAAATGACAAGTTAATGGGTGCAGCACACCAACATGCCACATGTATACATATGTAACAAACCTGCACGTTGTGCACATGTACCCTAGAACTTAAAGTATAATAAAAAACAATCACATTAAAATTAGTATAAATATTTACTTCAAGGGCTTATAAAATGCACAGTTCTGTTAAATAAAATGGCTTTGACTAGCAAGAGTCATAAGCCTTTGTTTTTTATTGATATGAAAATTAATTTATTATTGTAATATTAATAATTCAAATGAATAATTATTTCTTTTCTATATTTTCAAAAAATCACTCAAAAACAAAAGTAAATTATCACAAAAATATTACTCAATAATATGTATCAAGTAAAATTTGAAAATTCGAAGTAATCTAATGTTGAGTGTTAAATCATAATACACAAATACTATGAACTATTATACATGTAATTAAAATAATGATTATGAAGATCAGGTATAAAAATAGAAGTGTCCTACTGTAGTGAAATGAAAATGGCAGATTATTTTGATTACTATGACAAGAAACCTGGCTGTATGTATGGATTTTAGGATGCCAAAATGAAATTCATTCAAGGTGGTAGAATTTTTATTATTATTATTATTTTCTATTACAGATTCAGGAAGAAAATTTTTTAACTAATGAAATTTCATTTAAATCACAAGTGATTATTTTTTTCACTGTGAAATTGAGATTTATCTTGAAAATTCTGGTTTGTAAAACTAAATATTAGTCATTTAAATATACAGAATATTGAAATAAACTTCCATCTTTAATAATCTAAATATATTTTAGACTTAGCCTTAAATTTAGAAACAATCCAAAATATTGAAATAATATCCTGAAATGTTTTTCTATAAAATACACAACTATCCCTGCTTTTAGCATAGCATTATCCTGGTCTTATAACCTGCTTCCCTGAAATCTAGCAAAGAGTTCTTGGTATCCCCACGGCAGGTGACATGGTTTCAGGGGACTCAGAGAGACAGGGTCTCACTCAGTCACCTAGGCTGGAGTAAAATGGTGTGATCAAGGCTCACTGTAGCCTTGACCTTCCAATCTCAAGCAATCCTCCCACTTCAGCCTCTTGAGTAGCTGAGAGTAGAGGCAGGCACTACCACACCCACGTGGTTTTTAAATTTTTTTTTACAGATGGGATCCCACTATGTTGCCCAGGCTGGTCTCCAACTCCTGGGCTCAAATGGTTCTCCTGCTTCAGCCTCCCAAAGTGCTGGAATTACAGGCGTGAGCCACCATGCCTGGCCTTGAATTTAATGTTTTACTTTTATTATGATGTGTACGATTAAATGTTGGCAAAGACGCTTTATCATATTTGGACATTTTTCCTATATTCCAATTTCACTTTTTTTTTAAATATTGGCTGATTTTTGTCAAATATTTTCAGCTCTTAACTATGTGTTTATAACATAACTGATTAATTTGGGTTAACAAGGCACCTGAAACAGGAAATATTTTTATATGAAATGCACAATCCTAGTCTTGTATTTATATCAGCTAAACCTTAGTTGAATATGGTGAATTACATTATTTAAACTCTTTTACCTTCAATTCAGTGTAATTTTACTCATTTTTAATAATTAAACTAATAACTAAAATGTATTTATACAGCATATGTATTATCTTTGTCAACCTGTGACATTAGCCTAATGATGGATTGGTATTTTTCTGTAGGCTGTGAACATTTGCATTGCATTGGACATTTCTGTTCTTTGAAACTTAACTAAAATTCTCAAAAGAATCATAAGGTAGTTATAACTTATTTACTAATGGGCATTTCTAAACAACTTCCTGATGGAGGATATTGTTATTACTGTATGTCTCAGTATTCTACATTTTTAAAAATTAACTATTTTTTGAATATTACCCATTTTCTCTAAATTTCCAAATATTTTAGTCTTTATTCTATTGTGATTATATATCCCTTCTTCTGACAGACATTTCTTTATTTTGGTTGAATTATTCTGTACTTATTAGGTATTTGTCTATTTTATTTATCTATTCAGGTCACTTTTAATTTCAATAGTTAAAAATCCATTAATTTTACTGTTTAGCTGAATTAATTGCATTCTCCTACTTTTATGTTTCATATTTTTGTGCTTCATTTGTTTCAATCTTTTATTTTTCTTGTTAAAAGGAATCCATTATTATTCACATTATCATTGACAACTGTGAGAATCTGCAGAAAAAAACAATATGGAACTACAACTTCACGTTCTTGAGAAAAGCTTGCAGTGTAAGATGCGTTTGTTTGTGGTGCCTGAGGAAGAGAGGTTGGTGAAATTGCACTTGGACTCAGTGAATCGGAAATAGTTTTAACTCTCCAGTGGAACACACTGTGAAGTTGTCAAGTCCCTTGATTTCTCAACGATACCAACTAGTTCAATAAGCAAAGAGAGTATGCTTGTGCCTACTTGTTGCCCAATGAAAGAATCAAATAATTTCACTGATTCCAGCAGCAGAAAAAGAGAGTTGGTAGTGCTGAGCTGCTGAAGGTTCATTACTGCTTAGCCTTGAGAATGGAGGCCCCACTTGGTACTCTTCATAAGAGATGCCCCAACTCGTCAAAGGAATTATGGTAATCTCCTTACTTTCTGTTGCACATTCTTCCCTCTGCTAATCTCAGTACACTCATACTAACTTTCTTGTCTGTTAAGTGATCTCACATGTTTTGAAACCAAGTTCAGATAAACTCACAAGTGGGTTAAGGGGCCAGAATAGTTTAAAAGAAATACAATTACTTCATTATCTCACTTACATGTGAACTTTAAAATGTTGACCTTATAAAAGTAGAGACCAGAATAGTGGTTACCAGAGGCTGGGGGGTAGGGGCATGGGAGGTGTTGATCAAAGGTACAAAATTTCAGTTAGGGAAGAGGAATAAGATTTTGAGATCTACTGTACAGAATGGTGACAATAGTTAATAATAATATATTGTATATTTCAAAATTACTGAAAAAGTAGATTTTAAATGTCCTCACTACAAAAAATGATAAGTATAAGAGGTGATAGATATGTTACTTAGCTTGATATAATCATTAAATGATGAATATATATCAAAACATCAAGTACAATTACTAATCAAGTAATTTAAAAAAAAAATTAAAGGAAAGACAGGCAGAAGGAATTATTATTGCTGTGTTGATGAAACAGAATGAACAAAAGATAAATTTTGTTTCCGGAATTTAAAAATGAGAGTTTCTTAATTTAAAAAATGTGATAATGTAAGACAAGACTTGGAAAGGCAAATAAAGGTAACATTTTACAGAAATAATAAAAAATGCAACGCTATAAAATAACTAATAATATCCCATGAAATACACAGAAAATATTCCAAAAGTTCAAGCAGAACTCAAAGAAACAGATGAGATCAGAGAGAGAGAGAGACAGAGACAGAGAGAGAGAGAGAGAGAAAGAGAATGTTAGAATAGGAGCATAACAGTGAGAAATAAGATCTAATTATTCATGTTATATTTAACTGCTTGCTCAATCTTAGAAAGTGCAATAAAAAATTTCAGAAATGCTAACCTAAATTCTGCAAAAATCTTCCTAACTAGACTTTAATATTTGTTTAAAAGTGTGTTTGTTTTGAGCTTGAAGGTATATAGTCCAAATGTAGTCCTCATGCTTTAGCTGGGTTAGTTCATTAGCCATTTCAGGGTGATCATATTATTTATTTGAATTTAGTTTGGTTCATCTATTTCTGTTTGAATTTTATTTATGGTACCTTTGCCATAATTATTGATTATTTTTGTTCTCTCACACTCTCTCATACGTGAAATATTTACA
Organism: Homo sapiens; assembly: GCF_000001405.40. Lineage (NCBI taxonomy): Eukaryota > Metazoa > Chordata > Mammalia > Primates > Hominidae > Homo > Homo sapiens. Next base: position 87,721,397 of record NC_000007.14, on the reverse strand, counting down.
TGGTTCCAATTATCAGAAGCATACCATAATGTATATTCAGAGAACTGACATGTTACCCCCTTCATTCTATTATTTTCACTATGTTCCCATCCACCTCTGCTTTCTGGCTTAGTATTCCCACTTTTGATTTTAGAGGAGCCACCAGAATGTTTTATTATCTCCTCCCATTTTTAAACACAACATAGAGTATAGTTTTTTTATACTTTTATTTTACCTAAAAATAGCCTGCTACATATTATAATTATATATACAATTATAATATAATCATACTCTATTAACTTAAAATTTTCTTTTTTTACAGTTACATAGTACTCTGTGTCTGCATACATTTCTGATTTAGTCAATCTCCTTTGTTTTGACATTTAGCTAATTTTAACTATAATATTTTAAATTATACATTTAATTGGACATTTAGCTAATTTTAAACTATAATATTTTAAATAGTTAAAATAGCTAATTTTAACTATTTAAAATATTATAGTTAAAAATTAGCTAAATGTCCAAACACGAGGGCTCACGCCTGTAATCCCAGCACTTTGGGAGGCCAAGGCAGGTGGATCATGAGGTTAGGAGATCGAGACCATCCTGACTGACATGGTGAAACCCTGTCTCTACTAAAAATACAAAAAATTAGCAGGGCGTGGTGGCACGCGTCTGTAGTCCCAGCTACTCAGGAGGCTGAGTCAGGAGAATCATTTGAACCCAGGAGGTGGAGGCTGCAGTGAGCCAGAGCTCACCACTGCACTCTGGCCTGGGTGACAGAGTGAGACTCTGTCTAAAAAAAAGAAAAGAAAAAAAAAAAGAAAATTATAATTATTGCATACACACACACACACACACACACACACACACACATATATCCTATCTTCTGCTTAAATTTGTGATATCCTATCTTTTGCTTAGATTTGTGGAAGTGAAATTGCTTAGCCGTAAGTTACTATGTAGATTTTTTGGATAAAACCAAAAATCCTTCTTTAGGAATGTGCATTTCCTCAGAAGTTCATGGGAGTGCATTTTCCACATATCCTCACCAAAGAGTGCTGTAACTCCTCCATCAGCCTGTCTGTCTCTCTCTCTCATCTTTCTATCTAAACTTGGCTAAAATGACATAAAAGAAATAATATCTCAGTTTATATTGATAATTCCCTTATAATAAGAAAAGTTAAATAAATGTTCATATGTCTAAGAGCTTTTGACATATTCTTGTGAGTTGTCAGTTTACATCTCTGCCCTTATGTTTCTATCAAATTTTTAGTCTTTTCCTCCCAATTTGTATTAATTAAAAAAGTCTTTTATTGTTAAAATAATGTTGCAAATATTTTCTCCCAGTTTTTCAATTGTATTTTGATGTTTCTATATGGTGTTTTTGCTTTGCAAAGTTTTTCTTTCTCTTTTTTTTTTTTTTTTGGATGTAGTCAAATGTTCCACTAATTTTTTTCATTACCTCTGAAATTTTATTCAGACTTAGAAGAATTTTACCTACATAGGGTTATATAGAAATTCATCTCTGTTTTATCTCATCCTGAAATGTTTTGATTTCTTTAAAAAAGTAAATACTACATTTATTTTAATTATTATTTTATATAATGTGAGAAGGGATTTAATTATGTCTTTTTCAAAATGGCAAACTGATTGATTGATTGATCCCAGAGCTATGCATTACAAATCTCCTCATCACCTCAGTGTTTTAAGATTCTACCTTTATCATAAACTAAAGTTTATTTTTTACTTGCATTTATTTCTATTATATAACTACTTCTTTATCCTATTTCACTGTATGTCTGCATGCACCAATGCACAGTTTTAATTGTAAGGTTTTTATATAGTATGTTTAGTATCGGGTAAAGCTAATTTCTTCCCCTATACTACAGCTTTCTTTTTAGTATTTCCAAGTTAATTTTGTATATTTACTTGTGTATTTTTGTACATTTTGTATACTTTTATATGTTTATATTTCTTTTGTATATTTTTTATATTTATTTTGTATGTTTATTTTTACATGTAATTTCAGTATCAACTTGTCTAATTATGTAAAGAAACTTATTAACATAGAGATTGCAGCCAAATTATAAATTAACTTATAGGGAGCTAAGCTGTATTCTATAAAGTTTAAGCACCTCACACAAAAGTAAAAGACTTCTTCCCATTTTAATAATTTTAATTTTATATTTTTCAGGCCTTTTAAATTTTTTTCATGTAGATTTTACACATTTCTTCTTACACTTATCTCTTAGTATTTTATAGTTATTGTTGAATATTGATTTTATGTGTTATTATGTTACCTGTGTAACTATGTTACCTGTGTTACCTGTGTTATGTTACCTGTGTAACTATGTTACATGTGTTACTTGTGTATATGTATTAGATATGCTATTTTAATGTTTACTGTACTGTTGAATTGTTTTATTTTAATTTAGTTTTATTACTGAATCTCTACGGTTTTCTAGTTACAAAACCTTATCATCTACAAATATAAATAGCTTTCCTTTTTGTTTCTGATTCTTATGTCTCTAAATGATTCATTTTGTCTAACTGAATTGGCTAACCTCTACTATTAAGTTGAACATTAGTAAGAAGAGTGCAATACATTCTTTAAAATCTTATTGGAAATACAAGTAGTGTTTCTGAATTAAGTAAAATACTGATTCTAGGACTAAGATTATATAAAATTCCCATATCATGTTAAGAAAGTAAACATCAATTAACAATTTTGTACTTTTTTTCATCTCTCAGGAATAAATCATACATTTTGTAAAGGACTTTCCATCTTCTGTAGAGGAAAAATAGCTGGTTTTTACTTTTAGATGTATGAATATGGTGTGCAGAAAGAGTTAACATATAGCAGACCTGATTTCTATCCTTCGAAAGGCCTGATTAAAAGATTAGGCTTGGCTGATGCTGAGAACTTAGATTTTGGAAGGATTACCATCACTCTGATGGGTAAGAATGGCTCACTGTGCCTAAACTGCTTGTACAAAAAATGTAGTTTATGCTAACCTTTTTCTTTCCTTCTAGGAGTCTGGAATTTTGATAGGTGCTAGGCAGAAGGTGCCTCCTGACTATCCCCTAATAGAAACCCTAGGCACTAAATCCCTAATGAGCTTCCCTGGTGGACAGCATTTCATGTATGTTGTCCAAAGTTGTTGCTGAGGGAATTAAGCACAGCCCATATGATTCCACAGGGAAAGGACTCCTAGAAACTTTCATACTTGTTTTTCACTGGACATTGCCGCATATGCCTTTTCCCTTTACTTATATGCTTTGCATCCTTTTACTGTAATATATGATAGCCATGAATAAGACTATGAGTCCTCCTAGCAAATCATCAAACCAGAAGATTCATATGGTTTTTATATCAATGAATTTCCTAATATTGTATCAATATCATATTCCCAGAATAAATCACACTTGATCAAAATGTATCAGTTTCTTAATGATGTGTTATATTGTTACTAATATTTTTACATTTCAATCAATATTAATAACTGATATTTGTCTATAATTTTCTTTTCTAACTGTATTAGGTTTAGGTATAAATGTCATACTTACTTTACAAAAAGTATTAGATTTTCCTTAATTTTTTGAAATTTTCTTTTTTATAAGGTGCAAAAATTTTCAAAATCATTGGGACTATCCAGGCTTTGAAATTTTGATACAAGTCTTCCTTGAAATCATCTGGGCTTAATGATTGATTTTGAGGAAGTGTCTTGATAAATTTTTCTTTTCCTGATAGAGAAATTAGCTTATTTAAATTTTTTACATATAGTAGGGCCTATTTGGGCAAATTATATTTCTGTAGGAAATTATCATTATATCTTTCAAATATATAACAGAGAGATTGTAGGATTTTTTAAATGCATCATATGTCATGTCAATGGTTACTTCCTCCTTGTCCTTTTATTATACATATACCTCAGTTAAGGTAGCTAGTAATTGGTCTCTCTTGAAAATTTTTTACCAAAAAATATTATTTTTATTTAGTAATTATGTGTTTCTCAATTTAGATAAATTGATAAAGCAAATATTGTTTATTTTTTGCTTTATTGTTCCTTTATTTTTTCTGTTTGTTTTTCTTATCTTGTTTAACATGAAAATTTCATTCATTTATAATTTGTATTTTTATTAATAAAAGGGTTTAGGGCTATAAAACTTTTTCTGGCTACATTCTTGAATGTATTACAGGTGTCCTGATATAGAATACCTCCATTATCCATGATTTTTATTAAAAAACACTTTTGGATTGTATTTTACCTTTAACCCAAGAGTTTAATTTAAAAAGGGAAAGAAAAATGATAGAAGTAGGCCAGGCACAGTGGCTCACACCTGGAATTCCAGCACTTTGGAAGCTGAGGCAAGAGGATACTTGAGCACAGGAGTTACAAACTGCCCTGGGCAACATAGTGAGACTCTGTTTCCACAAACCAGTTTTAAAAGTTAGCCAACTAATTTGGAAAGATGGCTTGAGCCTGAGAGGTCAAGGCTATAGTGAGCCATGACTGTGCCACTGCACTGCAGCCTAGAAGACAGAGTGAGACCCTATCTTAAAAAATCATAGAAGTAATAATATCATAATTATACACAATTAAACTACATTGCAAATACCAAAAATTTTACTTGTTTTAAATTTCTACACTAATCATGTACAGCTGTAACAGTTGTACAGTAAACAGCTGTATATAGCCTTCACTTCTCACTAGACATCTTATCAAAAAAGAACTTAAAATTTATGGGAAAACCTTGCACTTTGTGTTAGAAACTTAGTTTCTTGGCTTTCTTATTCCTATCTGATGGAGGGCAAAGAACTTCACTAGTTTGCAGGCTACGCAGAGACAAATTAGAAAAGAAACATAAAACAGAAATATTTTGTGTATAGCACATTGCCCAAAGATGAGATAAATTGGTCTAAAAATGATATGGTGCAATGGAGACATTTAAGAGCTTGTTAGCAATTCCTACAGGTCCCAAGAGGTTCAAACAGTTCAGAAACAGAACAGAACATGATTCAGTATATTTTCAGAGAATTCAAAAGTTTTTGTAAAGCTCACTCAGGAAATCTTCAGGGAAAAACAAACTTTGCTCCTCTTTTTATTTGGTAACTTTCTATATTCTCAGAATAAGCTTGAAAACCATTTTACGTTGGCTCCAATATCCCACAAATCTGGCAACAGTGACAGGAGTCATGTCATTCTGACAGTTGGACCTGACTAAACTAAGTTAGTGGCCACCAGTGTCTGTCAATTTTAATGATGGTAGGCAGATTTCCCAAAGTGGTAATCACTCTGAACGTGGTTTATTTTTTATTTTTTTAAAAATTAATTAATTAATCAATTAATTTTTGCCTGTTTTTGGCACTTCTAGCAAGTATTCTCTTAGTATTCTTTGTATTCCTACTCTTCCTCTTTGCAAATTGCCTATATGCAATCATCAAGTATTTTAATGATAATTCCTGTCTTTATTTCCGTTACTCTATTCTCTCCTTGTCAGTGACTTTCCTTCCAATATCACGCACTTACTCCATACAGACCGTTTCAAAACTTTTCCATTCTCCATTCCCTCCAGCTTCCCTTCAGTAATTGGTCAGTTAATAAGCCTTTCTGATCAAGTCACCATCTCTCACTGGAATTGTTGCAATAGTCTCTTGACTGGCCTTTCTGATTTTTGCCCTTGCCCTCTACAGTTTATTCCTAACAAGACAACTAGTGTGACAAAGCAATCAATCAATCAGTCAATATTGTCCTTCCTATGATGAAATGCTTCTATTCCAATGGCTTCTGTTGTCTCTAAGAGTTAAAGAGAAATTATTAAAATAGCTATTAATGCCCACATTCTAGTCCTTTAATATATTATATTAATATATTATATATTAAATGTTATATATATAATTAATTATATATAATATAATTATATGTATTATTTATATATTAATATAAATTAATATAATATAATTATATATTATATTAATATAATTATATATTAAATATATTATATTAAATATTAAATATATTATATTATATTGATTATATAATTATTATAAATTAATTATATATAATTATTATAAATTAATTATATATAATTATTATAAATTAATTATATATAATTATTATAAATTAATTATATATAATTATTATAAATTAATTATATATAATATAATTATATATATAAAGTCCTTATATATTAAATATTATATATTTATAATATTATATATATAATATTTATATTTCCCTCATCCTTTATAGCATTTCACACTACCTGTGGCTTCACTGGAGTTATTGCATTGAATTTGCTGCCTTTTACTTAAGTCAAACTTTTTGCTCACAGTGAAAGGAATAGAGAAAGATGTAGGGAGACCCCCTGAAACTATTGCTACAGAATAAAAGATGAAATGCTCCTAATTATTGTAAATACAAAATTGCATGCAGTATTGTGTAAAGACAATGCCAGGTTGGACTGCCAGAATGAGCCAACAGCGCGTGACGTGCTTCCCCCTGCAGAGAGCCTATGAATGGACGTGCGGTCAGGGAGGTTTCACATCACCAAGATTCCTATCCCAGAAAAGCAGATGTTCATAGCTCTAGGAATGGAATGCGACCCTTGTGGAGAGCCTATAAACGGATGCATGGGGCGGGGGGGTGCCTGTCCATATGGATAAGATAGGGCTATAAACGTCCTCATCTTGCCATGGCTCTTCTACACCTCTTTAGGGTTAAGGCATACTCCTTTCTGAGAATTTCTCGTCTAACCAGTTGTCTATCTTCACGTCCTATTTCCATGGATTGTTTGTAACCAGCTTTTGTTGCAACTGTTACTGCTGATTAATATCTTGCTAATCATAGGTTATGGAAAGATTGTGTTTCTGTTTTAAGGCTCTGTTAGAAATTACTAACACACACACTATATTGTAAATTCTTATCTCTGTATACTGTACTTCTCCATACAAATGTACTGTACTTCTATATACAAATGTTATGTTAAAGAATTACTTCATCCCCATGTGACCATCTCACCTCATAATCAAATGACCCTAAATCCCTCACTAACCTACCCCTGCCCTCACTAAACTTAATAATAAATGCTGGTATATCCAGTGCATTGTTGGCACCGTGGGACCAGAAGGTAGTGACCCCCCTGGACCCAGCTTTCACTATCTTGTGTGTGTCTATTATTTCTCAACCTGCCGATCCGCCTAAGAACAAAGAGAGAGCCCCGTTGCATTGCAGGCTGCTGGCCAGATCCCACAATACATACACAGATTCCAAAATGCATTCTTAACTCTTAAAAGATTTTGGTTACTTATCACTATTCTGTCTACTTTTCTGTAATTGAGAAAAGTATTTGTCAACTCATTTTTTCTCTCTGTGACAGCTCAGTCATTTACAAAGTTTTATTTTATACTTTACTCCTTCCTTCAATTTGTGCTAAAACATTGTGAAAATTAACATTTCTTTGGAACACAACTTTTTCATTATAAATTAAATACTGATATAATTGCAAAGTAAACAAATGAATTTCCATAAAGCTAATTTATCTTTATATTTTCCATACTTATTACTTCAAATTCTTGTTACATTTTCAATTTTGTTTGAAATATCATATGGTATTTTAAATTGAAATTTACTAATTATTTTTTAGCCAGTGGATAAAGAGAAATTAAAAATTTGAACAAATTAATTCAATTTTTACTTCACTTCTCATTTGAAGGTCTTCCCAGTAACCTACCAAAAGAAGTCTCTCTCTTTTTTTTTTTTTTTTTTAGCTTAGATTCTAATCTTCATTCTGCCTATTCTGGCTAAACTTCTCAACTCTGGCTATTTTTCAATTATACCCCAATCCCTAAGCCATGTAACTCTTCGAGGTTTTTGTTTGTTTTTTCAACTGCTCATTAAGACGTCCTACACCTTAGCAAAAAGATCACACATATTTCTTCAATGCTTTGGAGCCATAGTCATGTACTCAAAATTTATTTTATCTCTACTCCCACCCTTCCTCCACCCAAACTTATCCTTGGGTTTTCACTGATTAGTGCTTTCAAGCCTGCCTGCCTTAGTTCATGTAGCTCCTCCTCTGGTACTGGGATAAACACTTGTATTACCATTTTAAAGGCTATCATTACTCTTTACCTGTGAAGAGTAGAACATGAAGAAATCTACTTTATTCAGATATTCTCCAGATTCCTAAAGATTAGAGATCATTTCTCATTCTCCTAGGAGTACTCACTTCAGGAAGCAACCAGATAAAAGGTAAGGTACAAATACTCTTTCTAATTGTTTGTATTTTACAAATCTAATCTTATGAATATATTTGTCTTGACTAGAAGTTTGCAATCAAATTTAATTAGAATTAAGAATTTCTTTGGTTTCATCTCAGTAAAAAAAATTAGTGTAAATAGGGGGAGAAAAATAAGATTTTTTTGCCGCATTTTTTAGTTAACTTCTAAGATAAAAACTTTGAAATAACTCCCTACTTACTTCCTTTCTTAAGAGTTCCAAAGCCATTATATTCACATTTAAATCCTATTATTCGATAAATGTGTATGTGTAAATATTATATGTATGTGTGCATATATCTATGTATCAGATACATATATATGACATTGTACGCCAAGCCATGTTTCTGTTTGAAGACTGTATGTTTATGTATGGTTACAGGAATATTTTTACTTCATGTACTTTTTTAGAGCTGAATCATTTCCTTTCTATGAAAAAGCATGGTTAACACTTAAGAACAAGGCAGAAAGCATTTCCTTTAAATATTTAAACTACTTGTTCTAAAAATAATCTATTGAAGAATTATTTCTACCCCACCCAATCATTTAAACTAAGAAACAAGACTAACAATTTAGAGAGATTATTAATTATTTAATTTCTATTTGGAAAAGACTATCATAACTTTGATTCAATATTCTACTTGCATAGGAAATGATTACTATGCAAACTTGATTTTGATTTAATTAATGTAGGATTTTTAGATTTGAGCTACTCGATTCTGATACGATTCTTTGTTTTCATTTTCAAAGCCTTAGTATCCTCAATGCTTATCAAGTTTCATAATGAAACTTAGTAATGATAAATGTTTCATTTTATAAAGTTCATTTCAAATGTCTAAGGTTTTATCATCATCTCACTGTTTATCTTTAGAAATATCTCGAGTGTCATGTTGCTTGAAAAGAAGTTAAATAAGTATATATCAGATTTACTTTATGCAAATATTTCTTTCAGCCAAAAGTCTTTCTATCCTGGTCAAACTTACAATCATGACAATTATTTTCTTTGTATCTCAAAATTAAAAGTTTACTATTATATTACCAATAAAGATAGAGGCAACTAAATAAAGATACTTAATTAGTACCAGCTAGTTAGTTGAAAGAATGTGTCATAATAAATGCCCAGATTTTCTCAAAATCCAGAATGTCAAACCCTGTATTAGGATATGGAAGTTAAGATCTCAGAGATATGATTTCTTTGTGCTTATTTTTTTCTATCAAAACTAGTTTATAGTTGTAATTATTTTCTTTTCTTTCAGAAATATGATTAATGAGGTAGAAAAAAGAACGGTAGTTTAGAAATATCTCAGGCAGCTCCGACCAATAGAACCTTCTGTGATGAGGAAAACACTCTAAATCTGTCCAATTGGGTTACCATTAGCTACATGTGGCAATGGGACATCTGAAATGTGATACAGCACTTGAGAAACTAAATTTGCAATTTTATGTAATATTAATTAATTTAAATTTATACATGGCATGTGTTAGTGGCTACATTAAACAGTTTATGTCTAAGTTATTAAAATTATTAAATCTTTTCATTTACAAATACTTTTGATTTGAAGAAAAGTGGCTTTACAAATAAAGATCAGCAGATGAGTGCTAATTAGGAATGACTGTTGTCCTAATATGTACCCTTTTCTACCATCATAAAAAATCAACAAAGTCCTATTTTTCACATGGCACAGGATGTCATCTTTATACAATCCAAGAAAAACAATGGTTTAGATTGTTCTAAAAAGATAAGCAATAACTAATTATACATATGAATTAAATAAGTAAATTATTAATTTTATATATATATATTTTTTGAGACAGAGTTTCTCTCTTGTTGCTCAGGCTGCGGTGCAATGGCTCAATCTCGGCTCTCCACAACCTCTGCCTCCTGGGTTCAAACTATTCTCCTACCTCCGCCTCCCGAGTAGCTGGGATTACAGGCATGCACCACCATGCCTGGCTAATGTTGTATTTTGAGTAGAGACGGGGTTTATCCATGTTGGTCAGGCTGGTCTTGAACTCCAGACCTCAGGTGATCTGCCAGCCTCGGCCTCCCAAAGTGCTGGGATTATAGGTGTGAGCCACCGTGCCCGGCCAATGTATATTCTTTACAAGCAAAAAAATAAGGAAATACTGAGGTGAAAAGAAAAAAGATGCTATTGAAATTTCATACTTAAATTCAAATCCATCAGGGAATAGTCTATGGGGAGAATGAAGCTTCAAGAGTTGAAAGAGTATGAATCAGAAATGATTTAGAAAAAGGATATTCCAGGCGTAATGTGTATCTTTTTACAGAAAGGTAGATGTATGTTTAGTTGACAAATTACATTTTCCTAAGAAGACAGTGGATTTATCTGAGTAGTAACAAAAGGAGGAAATAAAACAGTTGAGGATTTTAGAAATTGATTCTTCATCCTATTCTGATTTCTGAGTCTTCAGGTGATTCTTTCAAATATATATTAGAAAATTAAAAGGACTTTTAAACCTGGTTGTTTTGAAGTCTCTCAGAGCTGTAGAGATGTATTCAGATAAATGTTTTTCCATGAGTGCTACTCTGATCCAGGCTCTACCCTAAAAGGAAGAAGAAAGAATCAAATATAAAAAAAATTAAAAAAATATTTTGCCACTGTGCCATCAAAAATATTTTAATATGTAAAGAACAGCCATTCAAAATATACATTTGATAACGACTAAGAAAAATGTTTAAGTAGATAAAAATAGGTAAATTTTGATTATCTAGAGTATATATTTTGTTTCTCTGAATATGTAGGGTACAGCATGTCAAACTAACTTTCTATCCTCTGAAGGGACAGAACGTTAATACTGAGTTACTTGGGTTAGAGACTTCTTTTGAATTACATGATGTAATTATATAAGATATAACTCTCTACTTCAATACCGCAAATCAACAAACTAATTAAAATGAGCCCTCTCATAAATCATGAAAAACAGAGTTCTCTCTCATTAATGAAAATAATCAGTCTAACATCACTTATTTAAGAAAATTTTCAATCCTATCCTTTCAGTGGGAGGTTTTATACAACTAGTAATAAAATCCAAATTTCATTATATATAATGAATCCAAATCATGAGCTATTGAATTTGGGTGTCCCCAGAGAATTCTAAAAGCTATTACCAAATATTTAAACTAGAAAAACAAACAACAACAACAAAAAACAGAAGCCAGCATATTCTAGCACAGAATCACAGAAACAGACAATTCTTACTAAAAGTAATTAATTTTCTTACGGACTTTCTATTTAGAACTAAAGAATATAAGAGATCATATTTGTAGTAAGAACTTCATAAATCAATTATTTTCATTTTCACTCAACTCTTTCACAAATCTCTAAAAAACTTCATGAAGACTAAATACATAGAAAATTGAAACACTGCAATGGCAGTATAAAGGTGACACTAATCAATATATATGATTGTCAACTACCAGAAAGGGAAAAAACATACTCTAGAAATGTCTGCAAGTCTAGTGAATTCACCAAACTATGGGATAGGAAAGGTCACAAAGGAGTCAATATAGGCAGTAGTTAAAACCTGTCAGGCTAGAAGCAGCAGTACTACTGGGAAGAAAATGAATGATAAGGGTATGGTTAGCATGCGAGTCAATTTACCTACCAAGCTCAACATCCCTTTTAGCTTGCCCTGTGCTCAGTCCATTGTTCCTTCTGAGTAAGCCTAGGGGAACCTGCAGTTAGCTGTAGCTGATTGGAACAGAGGAAGGAAGAGGCAAGCTACTGGCTGGCCAGTAGTCTCAAAATTCTCTCTTGAAATTTCATCTAAAAGACACAGAAACTAGTAGCGGTGTCTTGAATCAAAAGGCTACAATTTCACCAATGAAGTCAAGAAAGTTGCTCTCCAGAGACAATTCAGCACAGGAGACTATGCTGTTACTAGATAAGAAATGTAGGGAAAATCTTGCTTCCTGATTTATTAATTTCAATCCATACAAAACTGGGCTGCATTTAGTTTCCTGTATTTGAATGTGTATGGAATCCTGTTATATTATAAGGATAAGTTGTGCTAATTTTAATGGTTTCTTTTCTTTAACAAAGGAACTTTTAATAGAACAGAAGACAAACAGACTTATAAAGATTGTTTGGGCCAAGAAGTAGAACAACTTAAAAACTAGATTAAGGAATTTAGATGTTTTCAGTTGATAAGGGTGATCCATAAAATGAAGGTTTATGAAAAAATAAGTAAAAGTAATCAAGATTTAAAAATGTAATTAATATGTGCTAAGCCCTGTTTTAGAGCTTTATATACATTAAGAAGATAAGTAATCCTCCCAATAATTGTGTGAGTTAGGTTACAATACTATCCCTACTTTATGCACAAATGAAAAACAGACACAATTAGAAGAGAAGAAATTCATTTTACCACCACCAAACTGACCAGCCTAATTATGTTAATACCTATACACTCCACCTTCTTTCCTGTTTCAGGGAATGAGCTGTCAGCATTTAAGAGAGTTTAAAAAAAGAAAAAAAAGCACAGAGTGGGAAAATTAAAATTAAATTATAAATATCTGACAGACAACTCTTATCCATAAAATACAATTAACTCTTAAAAACCCATAAGAAGAAAACAATTTAAAAATGGGCTTGCAATGGGATGATTTTTAACTATAGATTACATTTCTTTAGCAAAAATATCACATATCCAGATATTTCCATCCTTTTCGTGTTAGTTTTGGTGAGTAATTTTTTAAAAGAAATTTCCCATTTCTTCTAAATTTTCAAATTTATATAATAGATGTGAAGTTATTCATAATATCCTCTTTTAGGATTTTTAATGTCTGTGAGATATACACACTTGGCCTCTTCTTCATTCCTCATATCGGTAATTTATATTATCTTTTGATCTTCTTGAATAGTCTTGCTAGAAGCTTATCAACTGCATTAATCTTTTTAAAAACACTTTTAGTTTGGTTGATTTTCTTATATATTTGTTTCAATTTTATTGAATTTTTACTGTTATTTCTTTCCTTCTACTTTGACTTTAATGTATTTCTTTTTTCATAGCTTCTTGAGATGAAAGTTTTGGTAACCAATTTCCAGCCTCTATTCTTTTTTAAAATACACAAAAGCCTATTTAAGCCTATTCCTCTAAGCACAAGTTTTTATATGTTATATTTTCATTATCAGTACTTTCCAAATATTTTTCAATTTCAATTGTGATTTATTTTTTCATCCATGGGTTATTTAGAAGTTCTCCTCAGTTTCACTCATATAAACATTTTCTAGTCATTTTTCCATATTTTTGATTCTAGCTTAATTCCACTGTGGTTAGAGAACATACTTTACACAATTTCAATCCTCTGCAATTCACTGAGATAAACTATGGCTCAGAAAATGGTCAATTTAATATAACTCCACTGGGTGTATGATAAGAATGTATATTTTGCAGTATTTATTTTATTTTATTTTATTTATTTATTTTATTTTATTTTATGACAGGGTCTTGCTCTATCACCCAGGCTGGAGTGCAGTGGTGCGATCTAAGCTCACTGCAACCTCTGCCTCACAAGCTCAAGTGACCCTCCCACCTCAGCCTCCTGAGTAGCTGGGGCTACAGGTGCGTGCCACCACACCTGGCTAATTTTTGTATTTTTTGTGGAGACTGGGTTTCGCCATGTTGCCCAGAATGGTCTTGAAATCCTGAGCTCAAGTGATCTGCTCACCTTGGTCTCCCAAAGTGCTGGGATTAAAGGCCATCACACCCGGCCTTTGAATTTTAACATATTCCAATAATCTAGTAATTTTATGTATTTCAGTTGTCTAGTAATATTCATATTTATTTCCATTTTCTTGAACCTATTATAATTGCTTAAAAGTCCAAAGTCTCTATCACCCATAGGTTTGTTTCAATTGTCTTTTTCATTTTTCTTGATTTCAGTCATTCAATCTTGTTTCTTGATGTGCCTGATGATTTTTTACTGTATACTAGACATTCTGTATGAAAATTTATAGCAACTCTGAGGCTACCTTTCTCCAGAGTAGATTTTTCTTTTGGCAGTCAGTCAGAGTACTAGAAAATCACCTCACAATTTAGGGGACTACTTTTAGGCCTTTTTTTGTATTAATCTTCTGAATTTCCCTTACTCCAAAGATATTGTCTTTCAGGGGTCTCAAGTAAAAACCTGGAGTGTTTACAGTTCCCCTTCACCTTGCTTGCCCTTGAACTCTAACCTCTATCTCTCCAGAACTAGACTGTGAAATCATCAATCAGCAGTTTTACCTCTTCCCTGCTGCTTTCAGCTTTGTTTATGGGACTTTGCTTTGAGCTACAGATGACTTAGAGTTGGCAACAACCCCATAGGAAAACTGCATGCACAACTCCAGGCACATTTGTCTGTTGTTCAGTGGCAGTTCCAAGCTCCAACTTCTGTTTGTCTGCCCAAGGAAATAAAAATCTCCACCTCCACAACTTTCTGCTTAGTCTCTATACCTAGGATGTGAATAGACAAACAACTTTAGGCTAAAGCAAAGATGGATGTGCGGCTCAGCTCGTGTAATATCCATCTCTCCAGGACTGTGGCCACTCAAGTTCTCATGCCTTGGTTGCTCCCTTATATCTTAAATTTGTTACTTCACATATTTTATTCAACTTTTATAGTTGTTCTCAGCAGTAGGTCCCTCTGATACAAGATATTCTGTTATCACTGGAACCTGATTGTTTTCTTACCTTTGGGATCGACTCTGTTTTAGATTCCAATTACACCCTTCTCAATAAATTCTCTGCTTCTACTCCTCCCTTCAATTTATTATCCCTACAGCACCAAGCTGATCTTATAAAATGGAAATCAGATTACAGTATTCTATCACTTAAAAAAAAAACTCTCAAGTAGCTCCCCCACTGCACTGAGAATAATATCTGACTTTTAATCATGGCCATATCTTGTATTCTTCAGCTTGCTTAGCCTGGTCAGTATTTGCACAGCAAATTTATTGGATGGAAAGATGCATGGATATGTGGATGGCTGATGTAACTAGCATATTCTGAAACTGGTCTAATTAAACAATGAAGGAATGTACAGGATAAGCAACCAGAAACCTAAGAAAG
Source organism: Homo sapiens (assembly GCF_000001405.40). NCBI lineage: Eukaryota > Metazoa > Chordata > Mammalia > Primates > Hominidae > Homo > Homo sapiens. The sequence goes on along the minus strand of NC_000007.14, from coordinate 87,706,060 downwards.
CCAAATCTAGCTAAAAACAAGAACTGCTATTAAAAACAAAGAAAATGGGGGGACAATCCCTCACAAAATATACAAGAAGACAGGAAGAACTCAGGAACAATACAAAGCTCATATTTTGGGGCCAAGAAAATGAAAAAGCAAGAAGGAGAAGGGATTTCTTGAACTTGAAATCAGTTGGAATATCATGAAAACCCAATGTAAATATCTGCAAGGTTAGTAACAGTGGTAACTAAAGATTCAATTGGGAGTGGTTTTTTTCAGGGATCATATAATATGTTTATAAGAGCATATGACCCAAGAGCAGATGCGGAAGATGGGTGAGTTCAGAAAAGAATGAGATAAGTCAGTGCCTGCTGAGATAAAGTCATTTTTCTAAGAGTGCTGATTCTAGTGTGAAACCTAAGTAATTTATGTAATAAAAGTCTCATGTTCCATAACACCTGCATATGACAGAAATAATAGCTGCAAAAGTACTGAAGACACAAAGATTACAAACATGATCCTCAACTCAAATATTTTATTCTATTGTTAGGCTATGTTTAAGTCTTATGGCTAAACTAGTCACAGACAGCAGAGAAAGGGAATGGTTAGCATTTCATTGTTTTTTTTTGTTGTTGTTGTTTTGTTTGTTTTCTTAGATGGAGTCTCGCTCTGTTGCCCAGGCTGCAGTGCAATGGCATGATCTCGGCTCACTGCAACCTCTGCCTCCTGGGTTCAAGCGATTCTCCTGCCTCAGCCTCCCAAGTAGCTGGGATTACAGGCATGCGCTACCACTCCTGGCTAATTTTTCATATTTTAAGTAGAGACAGGGTTTTGCCATGTTAGCCAGGCTAGTCTGGAACTGCTGACCTCAGGTGATCCACCTGCCTCAGCCTCCCAAAGTGTTGGGATTACAGGCATGAGCCACCACGCCTGGCCCATTGATCTTAACCTAGACAAAAGTATGAGATTGTCCATGGTGACAAGCTTCTACAATATGAATCTAAGTGGTATCAGGACAGATAATTGTGATATAATTGTGATACAAGTGTACTTGTATACTGTATACTGTTCACCAGGCAAATTTAGTGCTTCTGGTCTGAAATATCTTTTCACATGTGTCAAGGCAAAATGACACTATGCTAGTAGTCATTCAAGATTGCAGCTGTAAGCCTCAATAAACCTACCATCTGAGGCATTTGTTTAATCCTTCAATCCAGAGACGTGAGATGTGACTTACTGAGTAGATTAAGTAAACTGCTCTTTTCATTGCAATGAATAAAGAGAGGTAATCTTTCTCCACAGACTCTTCCCAGCATAACTAGGCAACTCAAATAATTCTCTTTCCCCACTAAATGGAATCTGTTTGAGGCCTGAGCAAAACAAAGATATAAATGCAGGATTTGGAACATGATTGTTCTGTGGTGTTTTGATTCTCAATACCAGTACTTCACAGAATAAATATTAACTCTCTGCTAGATAACATATTGCTGTGCAGGGATTAGTTCCAAGAGCCTTGTTAAGAGAGTTGGTCAGCTAGGGTTTGGGTTTCTTTGGTCCACCCAGGTCCAAATGCTACATTTCTAAACTTTGTTAACTTCTTAATTACTTTTTGTATTTTGGGATATGCTAGTTTTATAAATATATCCTCCCCTCTATTGAAAGGGTTTAGAATACACTGTTATGTTCCTCTCTCCTACTTTTGATTTGAAAATGAGAATGTTTATGTAGCATCTAGAATACTTTTTATAGATTTGATTCATTCAAATTACAGCTAATCTTTAACCTTAGCCTAAACCTTAGCCAAAAGAAATGTAGATATAATTCTTAAGCCATAAAGAAAACATAAAAGGAAAACTGAGGCTGGGTGCTGTGGCTCATGCCTATAATCCCAGCACTTTGCGAGGCTGAGGCAGGCGGATCACTTGAACTCAGGAGTTCGAGACCAGCCTGGCCAATATGGTGAAACCCTGTATCTACTAAAAATACAAAAATTAGCCAGGTGTGGTGGCACATGCCTGTAGTCCCAGCTACTCAGGAGGTTGAGGCAGGAGAATTGCTTGAGCCTGGGAGGTGGAGGTTGCAGTGAGCTGAGATCGTACCTTTGCACTCCAGCCTGGGCGACAGAACTAGACTGTCTCAAAAAAAAAAAAAAAAAAAAAAAAAACCAAAAAAAAAAAAAAAAAAAAAAAAAAAGAAAAAACTGATAAAGCTCACCTAAGATGCAAAGGGGAATTCACACTGCATATTTTAAAAATCTATAGTTCAAAAATTAAAAAGTAAGTAAATGAATTAAAAATTCAGTAGTTTGAGGAAACAGAGGTCAAAGGACAATAGTTGGGACAAAAAAGACATCTGTTAATATGTAATAACAATAGGATTTAAATATCTGAGGGAAAAATTTAATTAAAAAAAGAAAATCTATAATTAATTTACAAATGAAGAAATTTACTGGCTTAAATACGTGAGACAGAGAAGAAAACTGATCCAACCTGAGAGAGTTGAAAGATATTGAAGCAGGAAGTTCCTTGTTGCTACAACCCCTTGGTTGAAGATTGGCAGGAGGGAGCAGTGGCTTTAACAAGTGAACTTTATAGTTATAGTCTCAAAAAGGTGACAAAAATCATAGCTATTAACTGTATCCAAAAGTGTACTTTCATATTAAGGAGCTAAAAATGTTTTACCTGTGTTTCTAATTATGTCACTACATTTAAACATTATAGATTTTGGTTTTTAAAACATATACTCAGTTCGTGCTTACAAAATATTTAATTTGAACATATCTTCATCAGTTTTGCTGAACAAAAATTTTCCAAAAGAAAAAAAAAATCCTAAATAAAAAGGATGCAAGAACAAAAAACTTGGAAATTATAATTTGGAAAGATAATTGTTATACTTTCGGTTATTACATAGACACATAATTTATAATTCTATAATCGTGAAATAATGAATTATGTCTTCATCTTAAAACTGTAAATATCAATTTTCAATCTTTATTTTCTACTTAATGTTTCATTCTGTAATTTCTAAATGTCAAAATAATAAAGCTACTCTGACAATTCAATAAAAATAAATACAACTACTACATTAAAGCTGATACCTGAGTTGAGTTAGTTATTTGATACCTGAGTTGAGTGAGTTAGTTGAGTTAGTTAGGTATACTCAACCTTCTGTTGAGTATACCTTTTCCAAAATGCTTGGGACAAGAGTATTTCAGATTTTGAGTATTTTCTGATTTTGGAATATTTGCATTAAATGGTCCATTTAGCATTTTCTTTGAACATCATGGTGATGCTCAAAAAGTTTTAGTTTTGAGATCATTTGAGATTTCACATTTTCAGTTTTGGGATGTTCGATCCATTTGACTTAATAGTTCAGACATTTTATAATCCTAAAAATTACTGAGGACCCCAAGGAAGTTTTATGTAGGCTATATCTACCAAATTTACTGTATCACAAGTCAAAACTGGAAACTTAAATATTAGGTAATTCAAAAATAATGAGTTGGTCATGGTGACTCAACGCCTGTAATCCAGCACTTCGGGAGGCTGCAGCAGAAAGACTGCTCGAAGCCAGGATTTCTAGACTAGCCTGGGCAACAAAGAGAGATATTATCTCTACAAAAAATTTAAAACATTTGCCAGGCATGGTGGCATGCCCCTGTAGTCCCAGCTACTCAGGAAGCTGAGGTTGGAGGATCACTTGAGCCTAGGGGTTCTAGCCTGCAGTGGGCTATGATAGTACCACTGTACTCCAACCTGGGCAACAGAGCAAGACCCTGTCCCTAAAAAATAAAATAAAATAAAATAAAATAAAACAATAAACCCATTACCTGTTAACATAAATAACACATTTTTATGAAAAATAACTATTTTTCCTAAAAAAAAATTAGTGAGAAAAGTATCTCTGTTTTTTTTTTTTTTTTTTTTTTTTTTTTTTGAGACAGAGTCTCGCTCTTTTGCCCAGGCTGGAGTGCAGTGGCGCGATCTCTGCTCACTGCAAGCTCCGCCTCCTGGGTTCACGCCATTCTCCTGCCTCAGCCTCCCAAGTAGCTGGGATTACAGGTGCCCACCACCACGCCTGGCTAATTTTTTATATTTTCAGTAGAGACGGGGTTTCACCATGTTAGCCAGGATGGTCTCGATCTCCTGACCTCGTGATCCGCCTGCCTCGGCCTCCCAAAGTGCTGGGATTACAGGCGTGAGCCACCGCGCCCGGCCAGTATCTCTGTTTTACATTTTTTTCTAATCTCTTTAGTGTCTTTACAAGATAATTAGATATCTGCTTCTGCATTCCATCTGTAACAATGTGTTGTTTTGGTTGAAGTATATGAAGAAAATCTAGCTTCACACAGATATATGGTTGGAAAGGGAATCTTTTAATAGTCTTTTCAGATAAGTGTAGATATTTTCTTTTGTTCTAGATCAAAACTCACTAAATGGTAAGTTTCTGTAATCATATTAATGACTTTTTCATACTATAGTACATTAAATCTACTGACCTACCTTGCACTTTGAATTGATCTTTTTACCCATACATGATTTTGTAATTCCACGAACTGATCATTTGGAAAATACAAGTTATGCAGTTCCATCAAATGTTGACACATTTCATTAAATAATTTAAAAATACATTTGTTGATATCAACATCAATGTTTTAAAAAAGCTTTTCTATATTGGGAAGCTATGAAGCTTAAGATGGTGAACACAAGTTTCTAAAATTCTAGTTTTTACTTAAAAGCTTTAATTTCACCATTGGCAACAAATACTGTCAGCTGTTTCCTTGAAGTAATAGGCTCACTTCTTTCTTCTTTTTTTGAGAAAATATCTGTCAAATGCCTAAGTCCAAAAAATTATGTTTATAAGTTTTTCTTTTCAGTAAAATCATATTACATTAAAAAGTATCTAGTTCAGCTCACAATTCAAAGAATTGTACAAGTGTTTTTCTTGAAGCAACCATCATATTTCAGTATGCTGCAGAAATGCTTTATGCATACTTCCCATTTTATTACTCAGGATATTAAAAAGACAGATCCTCAAAGTTGAGATTTAATAAGAATTAATGTTTCCCGCACCATCATGGTCATTCTTAAGTTGAAACTGCCTTTAAAAGAAAATACTGAGTGCATGGTGGGGAAGAACTCAAGACTGCTTGCACAGTTTGATGTCACTGCATTAATTCGTGCTAAGGTTCCAACAGTTTTATCCACCATTGTGTCTGCATTGGCAGTGCAAATATCAACACAGCGAAAAGGCAAATAACAGGTTGATATTATATAAAAATATTTTTGACATTTTGTACCCATTAAAGAAAGGGTCTTGGACATCTTCAGGGTTCTGCTGAACATTATTTGAGAGCCACTAGTTTAGATAATTCAAGAAATGTAGAAACATCACAGAACAGGACGTATTTTATTATGCTTCTTAAGAAAAGGAAATTCATAGTAAGTAGCTTCACACCTTCCTGCTATTCCAAATACATGCAATGAAAAAAAAAATAGAAACGAGTCTCTGACCAATGTCTTACCTTAGCTCTAGAAGAACTGACATTTTCCATATTTTCAATGCTGCAGATACAATTCTGTGAAACTTTCCGGCAAGCCACTCTGATATAGTCCCAGAAGCTACGAGGACTTTCATAACCAAACCAGGTTACTTGACCTTCAGGAGACAAATTGCGATATAAAATTTTAAAAAGTAAAATAAAACTAGACTTGAAAATGCAAGAACAATAAAATTCTGAAAAATAAAGGTAATATAGTGAACTATAATGGCAAGGGCACCACCAATCTAGGTGTCAAAAAGCCTCAAATCTAGTCCTATTCTATCTTTAACTAGTGGTGTTAGTTTGGAAAATTTACTTAATTTACTTAATGAGTCTGGATCATAGTCTTAACAATAAAATCAAACTAAATGAAAGGGACTAGACACTAGAAATATCTTGCCATTTAACATCCTATTTGTCTAATACAGTCGCTTAAATAGCACACGGGAACCTTCCTGCGCTTCTAGTTAAGCATTAATAAATGTCACCAATTGAATTCTAAACCTTTCTCTATTTAAAAAAACAGAAAAAAAAACCCCACCACCATAATTCTTTTCTCCTCTTCATAAGGATACTTCAAAAAAGGTATACAATGTGTTGTTTACTTTATAAATAAATAAAATCAATTAGCATCCTATATTCACTAATAATGCATAACCACCTACCCAACCATTCTCATCTATAAAGCTCCCCTTTAACTGTCATTTGTTTGCTCTCTTCCAGTTAAGAACTCATGAAAAACTTGTAATCTTTCAGATTTGGCTAACTATGTATCCGTTCATGACCAAATGTTCTATTGTGCATAGGTTATATTAGTATTAATATTTCTATGGTTGGGCATGGTAGCTCATGCTTGTAATCTCAGCACTTTGGAAGGCCAAGGTGGGTGGATCACCTGAGGCCAGGAGTTCGAGGCCAGCCTGGCCAACATGGTGAAACCTCATCTCTACTAAAAATACAAAAACTAGCTGGGCATGGTGGTGTATGCCCATAATCCCAGCTACTTGAGAGAGGCTGAGGCAGGAGGATCACTTGAACACAAGAGGTGAAGGTTGCAGTGAGCTGAGGTTGAGCCACTGCACCCCAGCCTGAGTGACAGAGCAGGACTCTGTAAAAAAAAAGAATTCTATACAGGACTCTGAATATTAGTCTCACAGGAAACATTTTCTACACTCAGTATTTTTAAGTGGAATATGAGAGACATCTTAATACTTTCTTTAGTTGTCTAGTATGACTAGTCTTCCCTAGGAAAGTTGTTTAATCTTCTTGTAGAAAGATTTGCTTTCATATTTTGAAATAAGTGCTTTTTTCATCATGATTTAATTATTTACTTTAAATCCTCCCTTCCTCAGTAATTACTTCTCTACAGCAACATCAAGAAGTGTTCTTGTCAGCAAGCACCATTTTAGGACCAATGTCTGAGATAATATCTGAGTGGTTCCAAACCATGGCAGAACATTAGTGTAACTTGACTGCTTTTAAAAAATACTCATGTCTAGCCTCCCCACAAACTGAATAATCAAAATCTTTAGGGGAAGATGTAAGCATTTGAATTTTTAAAAATCGCCCCCTAGTATTTCTAGTGATGTACTTATTATTAATCAACCAACAGAAATCCTACAAGTCATGATAGGTAACTTCTATTCATTATTCAGGGTGTTTTAAAGGCCTCTTCCAGAAACCCATGTATGATCCCAACAGCTAGTCCCTCTGTTGGCACAGGACCCTGTGCTTACTTCTCCTCAAAAGTATTTCTTTACTTGATTATTTCACATATTAGGCGGTAAGATCACTAAGGCAGGAATTTTGTCTTATTTTAGATCAATCTCTAACACTTGACACAGTGCTTACTTGGCTCACAGTAGGCACTCAATAAATATTTGTTGAAAAATTAAATTTATAAATCAGCACAACACAGATAATCTTAAATGCAATGAACACAAAAACTTAAATTTAAAAAAATCCAATTATCTTTTTATAGCAATAGTTTTGATAACAGTCTGCTAGTGTTTGCATGATAGATTACAAACATCAAATATTTTGCACAAATATATTTTTCTTTATATAAATAAAAACAAATGCATCTATAAATCTTTATTCTAATAACTATATAATTCAATGTCTCTTTAAAAATAAAATTTTGCAGCCGGTGCGGTGGCTCACGCCTGTAATCCCAGCACTTTGGGAGGCCGAGGTGGGAGGATCATGTGGTCAGGAGACCATCCTGGCTAACACGGTGAAACCCCCTCTCTACTAAAAGTGCAAAGAAATTAGCCGGGCATGGTGGCAGGCACCTGTAGTCCCAGCTACTCGGGAGGCTGAGGCAGGAGAATGGCGTGAACCCGGGAGGTGGAGCTTGCAGTGAGCCGAGATCGTGCCACTGCACTCCAGCCTGGGTGACAGAGTGAGACTTCGTCTCAAAAAAAGCAATAAAAAATTAAAAATAAAATAAAATTTTGCTACTTACAAATAGAAATCTACAGACTTCTCCCTCTTAATCTCTCTCCATCACTTTCTTCTGCTCCCTCTCTTCTTTTAACTAAAAATTTCCTGATATAATGCCTCAATATAGTTTGTCTCTAGGGCACTTTTCATGTCATCAATTTGTTAGCCGTTTGGAGGGGAAGCAGGGTGACTGGTGGTTAAGAACATGGGCTTTGAGTCCGGTGGACCTGAACTAGATCACTTTCTAGCTATGGGATCTTGAAAAAATGACTTAGGTTCACTTTATGAGTCTGGGCCTCTTCTGTAAATTGAAAATAACGATAGTACCTACTGGATAGTACTGTTGTAAGGATTAGATGTGATCATGTATGTGCAGCAAGTAGCAAAGAGTCTAGTGCATACTAAATTCAAAATAAGTGTTAATTATTACTACTGTTATTACTGTAATCATACAAGCAGTTACAGGGACCAAGCTCTCCTTGCATCACAAAATGAAGTAGGAATGAGATGCAAAGTTAAATTCTTCACATTACTTGCTTTGGAATCTAGAGAAATCTTCCAAACTTACTCCCTAATCCAACTTTACTCCCATCATCAACCATTCTAAAGTTACTTCCTCAAATGTTTCTAACTTCAACTCATTTTCCTTGACTTCTATTATCTGGGATCATTCTATAATTTCAAAATGAGAGCTACAGCTGCCAGACTTCCCTCAAGAAATGAAGTACTACACACTGGAAAGAATCTTAAGGAAAGAGTATCACCAAGATTCTGTGGTGAGTTTAAGTCTCTCTAAAAAGACAATATGGGAAACAGAAGTCAGAGAAATAGGCAAGGGAAAATACAACATTGTATTAGCCAATGGCAACCACCTATAGTGGTAATCCAAATAGGTAACCACAGAGAAAGATAAAGCATAGGTTGTCCATGAACAAGAAGATTTTCCGTTTTAAGGAAATGTACAAGGGTCCAGGACTTTGGCATAGGACATGGTTTGCTTTTCTGTAATGTTATTTTAAATCTTCTCTTTAGTTTCAGGTGGCTGAAGAAAATAACTTGTAGGATGTTTCAAAGTAGAGCTGTTGAAAACCAAAGAGTATTTAAAAAGCCCTGTTTTGGAGGAGAGAAAACAGAGACAGAAAAACTAGAAAACTAGAGTTAGGTTAAGCAGAGAAGGGTGGGCACTAAATCCTTGGAACTCCTGCTATAGGTAGGGCACACTATCCACAAGGACTTTTACCCAAAAGATAATGAAAAGATTTCCCAGATTACAAACTGAGAAACTAAGCAATTGACAGGACGGCATATCATCATGACTTTCAGGGCCATAAATCAACCACCAAGATCTTCATAACACATTTATCTGCTCTACAAATTAGATGTGAGGATGACTTGGCTTGATTCTGGCTTCCTTCCTTTTCCATGTGCATCACTTCCAAAGTGAAGCTCTTAATTCAAGACACTGAATTTTTCACATTCAGAAAGATATTCTTCAAGAGAAGGTAGATTCTCTTGCTAGAACCTCCAAACAAGCTTTCATGTAAATTGCCTGTATATCCTAGGATTTCATCTAAATAATTAATTTCTGCATCTACAGAAAGGTTTAATTTAGTTCAATATAATAGATGTGTTCAATGAGTTATCTGCGATATTATTTGAACATCACTTTTATGTAAATACAGATTAACTGCTAGTAAAAGTCTATAACCTGTATTTAACAGGAAAATTTAAAAACAAAGTTACAAGCTACTCATGCCTTTAAAAATAAATATTGAAGTAATAAATAACCACTCCTCAAATACTTTGACTTCCTTTAAAAATAACCACAAAAGACAATCATATAGCAAGAAACTGACTACTCTATATCTTGAAGAAATGTTATTCCAAAGATGAGATATGCTGTCATTAACAGAATTCCCTTTTTAAAGTTCTCAATGAATATAGGTATACAATATGCTTTCAATTATAAGTATTCTTGGAAGTTAACATTTTCCCAATGTTAAACAAGCTTTTAAAAACATATTCCCATCCCATCAATCCAACTCTCTTCATCTTTAGGCACAGAAACAAATGGTGAAAAGTTTGCTAGACTAAAAGACAATCTGTTACTGACCAGCTATGTGATTATCTTTCCAACTAAATTGCCTCATCTTTAGGACCTAAAAATTGCCTGTGATCTCTAGGGTCCAATGTTACTCTAAAATTACTCTTCTATACTCTTTAAGTGAGATATCTATTTACACTTTGCAATATGTCTGTGTTTTGTTTGTATCTTATTTCATGGCCAGAATAAGACCTTCTAAGAACAGAAATTAATTTTTCTAAAGTGGTTCTCTACTAAGCAGTAGCTGACACAAGATCTTTTCATAATACAAGAAAAATATAAATGAATCTGTTAAGTGACTTAATTCCCCATCTTTAGTAATAGTGCTTAGCTATGTAAAAAGTGAATGATAAACTGATTTCACAAATGAAAGTTCTGTTAGTTAAAATATATCACCTACTTGACAATATTAAAGACTATTACCTTTGAGCTATTATTCATCTAGACAATCAACAAAAGACAAGATAATCCTACCACATTTTAATAAACCACTCTGATGTCACTGCAAAAGCTTTCAGATACTTAAAGAAAATTGGTTCCTTTAAAAAACTTGTGGAGTTCTCACTTTAAACTTTGTAGCAGCAATCCCAAGTTTCTTACTGCTAATTTATAAAAGCCAGTTTAATATTATCCACTATTTTATCAAACAGAGAAAATTTCCATTTCTGTAAAAGTTCAGAAACTTTTCCTTTAAAAAGGTACTATTATTAGTTGAGGTTTATATTTATTAGACCATCCAGCTTTGAAGGTAAAATTATGACACTGATCCATTTTCTAACTAAAATCCCAAATTAATGTTCTAAAAAATAGAACAAGTATAAACACTTAAAAATAATTAGTTACACTTTAAATTGAATCTGAGGAAGTCAGAATCTACATTAGATACTCAATTGTACTTACATTGCTAGTTCTACATGCTACTTACAGGACACTTCAAGTATATCATTTAGGCACTAAGAATCAGTTACTCATCTATAAAATGTAACTATTATCCTTTGGTATTGACAATGTAATGTCTAGTTCACTAGTAAGGAATTTATCACAAACATATACAAATATCTAAAGTATGTGTCTATGCCATAACAATTAGTCAACTCTTAATTTTCCAAAACAAAAAGATTAAGATGAACAGGTTCAGCAAAAATCTGAATATTGAATCAATTTAATAGGCTTTTTTATCCCAGTAATTTTACTCTCTCTGAAATGGAGAACAAACGTTTTGTTTTTTCCCTTCCACCAGCATTATTAACATAAGGCTTAAAGTACTGGTGGAATGAAATCGTACATGACGGCTGAAGTCCACACAGAGAGCTACACATAAATGCGTACTCCTGAAGAAATCAAGTATAATGTGTGTCAGTAGTGATTAAGACTATAGGTACAGAACATAAAACAGATAAAATTGCTTGAAAGGATTAATTGTGGGAATTAGAATTAAGGAAATGACATTTGTTTTTTACTTTTTCTCTTTCGTTCTACTATTTAAAAATAATGACTATATTGCTTTTCTAAGCAAAAAATACAGAAAGCTAGATCATTAAGTACAAAGGTCCAGCAGTGTTTTGCATATAGCAGAAACTCAATTAAAGAAAAGGTTTGAATAAGTAAATAAAGGCATGCATTCTACCTGGGAGAAAGGAAACTAAGAAGTACATTCCCACTAATGGTTCAAGAATGAAAAAGCAGTTATTGTTTATGGTGCCACATCTATGTTTTACTGAGACTGGAATATTCATACAGCTTCCCTGAGCTGCTACTTCACACGTAATATTTATTATTATACAGCACTTAAAAAGTAAATAGGTTATTATATTGTGTGGATTTACAAGATTTTAATTTTAAAATTAGCATAAGCATACTTGTGCTCTCTGGATTAAAAAAAAAAAACAAAAACACACAAAAAAGAAGGCTTTACAAAACCCATGCAATGTACTAAAAAAGATCACTTAACTGATACAGCCCTCCCCCGAAAGTCAATTCCATGCTCCCGTGCAGCTCAGTGGCGGGAGACATCACCAGCATAGAGTACCTTGAAGAGGTATTTGGAGATGAGCCAGCCATCTGCAACTTTGGGAAATCTCTTTAAAAAAAAAATAACAACAACAACACACAGATATTTAAGAAACCTGCCATCATGTTTACAGTTCCAAACTGAATAGCCCAACTAAGATGGCTACATATAATTTTGAAGCAGTAAACACTACTTTTACCTACTAAATAAATGAACTCTGTTAAGATAAATATGAGCTACACTTGGTAAGTAAATGAAGCTAGTTCCTTGTAGCTTATTGTATTGGAGAGGCTAAGGTGTCTGTAAGTCAAAAATATGTGAGCAGAAATTGTTTCCTGTTTACTTTTACCTCCATCATTCTTTCTCAGATGTAATAAACTGATGAGTAGAATAGACCTCAAAGAAGAGCAACAGCTTGACTGAACTTGCTGGCGATGCACCTCAGAACTTATAAGATTGGTTAGGAAAAAAAATCACTCACTTTGGAACTATATGGCTCAGAAAATTTCCAAGTTTAAAAATAAATACACATTTTTAAATGTTAACTTTTCTAAAAGTTATAAACAAATATATTTTGAAATGTAGCCATTCATTTTTTGCCTAAGAATTGTTAAAACTTTTATGTTTTCTTCCCTGTAGAGAGCAGCACTTAGATATTATATAAAATGTTGGTCAGTTTAACCAATGTTGACTAAATGCCTACTCTATCAAAAACACTGTTTTATTTGTTACAGCTTCTAACTCTTATTTAACAATCACCAACTGAAAAAGTACTAGAAATTTCTGCTATATTTTTCAGAAATTGCTAGTATAACAATATGGGAAAACTCCAAAGCCAAATTTCTGAAATAACATTCCCAAAAAATAACATTTCCTTCTCTCATAGTCAAACACTGAAATCTCCAATAGTACATGGTCCCACACCTTTCCAAACACTTAGATCCTTTATAAAACCAATAAAAGACAAACACATAGAGCTAGTAATGTGACATGAAAAATGAAAGGAAGGAGATACATACAGCTGTGCCACATCTACACATCTGCCATTCACTCTATCCTCTTACTTCCATAACATTTTAAACAAATATTAAATTTGGAAAAACATATCCAAAAGGATCTATAACTTGGTACGACAGTTAAAGCTCATATTAGAACATAATGTTCTTGCTATAACTACAACAAACAAAAATGAAATTTCTCAACATTGAATGTAAATCAGAATAGAATGCTTTTCATTGCAAATAACATTAATTCCTAATATTTAAACCACATTTACTATCTCTGTCCTAAAACAAAGTTCTCTATATTATTTGTGATTTATAGATCTAAAAACTTATCAAAGTAAAAACAATTTCCATGAAAATCTGACTTAAAGAAATTTTACTACAAAAATGTACCAAATAAGCATATCATGACCAGATTTATGGCACTTCTTAACCAACCCCTTATATAAGGTGGGAAACAATTACTGAAAATATCACAAAACTCAATTTATAGGGTTTTTGTGTTTGATTGTTTAAGAGACAGGTTCTCACTTTGTCACCCTGGCTGGAGCTCAGTGATGCATTCATAGCTCGCTGCAACCTCAAATTCTTGGACTCAAGCGATCCTCCTGCCTTCGCCTTGTGAGTAGCTAAGACTACAGGTGCGTGCCACCAGGCTCAACTAATGTTTTTATGTGTTTTTTTTGTAGAGACCAGATCTTGCTATGTTGCTCAGGCTGGTCTCAAACTCCTGGGCTCAATGGATTATCCTGCCGTGGTCTCCCAAAGCATTGGGATTACAGTTGTGAGCCACCATGCCTGGCCTAGATAATGTTGGTTATTTTTTTAAAAAGCTGTTAGTATGCTAGCCTCTGTGCCCTGATTTTCATTTTGGCTGTGAAAGACCATGGGAAAATTTTCTTAAATTTTTCACTTATTTGTAGGATGTAATTGCTTTAATTATAATTTAATACGATTAAACCATTCTAGACAAGTTAAAAGCAACCAGAAATATCTGGACCAAACAACAATCCACTATATTCCAAGTTATCTAATGTAGTCAAATTTCAACAACTCTCATTTTACAGATGAGAAAAGGTAGGCCCAGAGACAAGGCTGCCAAGACCCAGCAATCGGTTTTCTCTGTCACTTCAAGCTGACCTACTCCTTAGGAGATAGGCAGGACCTGACTGATGGAGGATAATTAGTCAGTTGTATTTCCTGGTTGGTTAGAGTTCTCACTGACAACCCCAGAAAGAAGGGGGAAAAACATGAGGTAGTGAAACATGTAATGGGAAGGAATATAAATATTTTTTATATAAAACGTAAATCCTTAGGAAGTAGAAGTGCTGCTCTTTAAATAAACAAGCGTATGACAAAGCTCACATTATTTCAAAGTGGCCCAGGGCTTGTTTGTAGAAGGGGTTCTTATTTGAGATGGAAACAAAACCTTTTGTTATAAAATATATAATGTTAAAAGAAAGTGAAACAGTATTTAACACTATGTAGCTTAGAAAAATACTTGAGACAATACCAAAGAAACCAGGTTCAGAAAGCATTTTGCTCAAGAACAAAATGCATTCAAATACAACAGTATAATTATACCATATAGTTATTTCAGGAGTAAGTTTCTGAAATTTCAGGCAAAGGCAGAATCAACTCAGAGATGGATATGCAATAGAAGAATGCTTCTATACTGAATACTGAAGACAGACAGCATTTCCTGACCCAAGAAGTATGTACTTTTCAATATCAAATAATTGATTCATAATTTTATTAATATTGAAATTAGCCCTCACACAGAAAAGACTATTGGCCACTGTTTTAAACAAATAAATTTTCCTTGATAAGACTGAATATGTTTCTAATTCATGAATATGATATTTATTCTTCTATATTTTTCATGTCAGCCATGTTCCAACTTTGTTTTCTATTCATTTCCATTTCTTTGATCATTGAATCACTATCGTGATTGATATAATCGATGAATTTTAACACTTATGCAAAAAGTAAACCTTTAGCTTTTGCTATATTTATTCTATTTTCTCTCTCTCTCTCTGCATATATATTTTTTTCTAATAAAGTTGCAGGTAGATACCTTTATATAAATGTACCAAGATGGAATATGGAAAAGACTCCTAGATAAAATGGTCTGTAAATGGATTACCATTTGTAAAACAAATAAAACTAATTATAAGTGATCAGATAATAATTCAGATTTTTCACAAGTCTTGTCTATAAATTGGCAGTATCATATAGAACATATTCTATTACTAATACTGTTAAGGCGAGTTGCTTATAATCTTTCACTTTGTATTTACATAGGAGGAAAATTTTTCAGCGAAGCAACAGATAAAAATGCTACAGTACTGTAATTCAGCTAACAATGAGACTATCTTTTATACAGCATTTTTCATCTTTTAACAGGTTCTGAAGTTAAAATGTAGTACTATATATAACTTTTCTTAAGCTTTAAAAATACTGCTTTAAAATGCCATTTACAGGTAGGTGGTAGGTATTAACATCTTAGAAACAAAGTATTTGTTCATTGATTAAATAATTTTTAAAATACTGAGTACCTAAATTGTGCTAATCTTTTGAAGTTTATCAAGTGCAAATCTTTTGAAGTTTAAAAGTCATAACTTTAAAGAAAAGAAAATGTAAAAACAGTTTAATAAAATAAAAATATAGATCACATGAACAATGGCAATCAACTAAACAGTGACAACTATTAATGAAAATACTCTTCATCAAATTAAAGTATTTGAATTTATGGATAATAAGAGTAATAAAAATATTTTAAATTATATCAAATATATCTGTACTACAGGGTCATCTCAGGTTCTTATACCAAGAAATCTAAGCCCCAGGCTTAGTGGCTTACACCTGTATTCCCGGCCCTTTAGGAGGTGGAAGCAGAAGGATCATTTGAGCTCAGCGGTTCGAGATCAGACTGGGCAACACAGTGAGACTCTGTCTCTATAAAAAATTTAAAAATTTTTAAAAAAAAATCTATGACAGCTATTTAAACATTCAAAGATTTAAAGTAAAAATATAGTGCAAACACACATAAACATTTGGCATTCAAAATTCTAACATACTTCAGTCAACTCTTAATTAGGCTACATATTAGAACAAATAATACATCAGAATGGGAATTTATCATTAGACGTCTAGCAAAGCAGCTTGCAGCGATATTGTTCACCTTAAGGAAAAGAGGTAACAATACCATAAAATGATTTTGAAAAGGACAACTCATTGAAATTAGAACATCAGAAAGATGTAGGAACTGGGATTATTATTATGATACCCTCCTAAAATGAACAAAGTCCACTAAATTGTGTAATCTTTCCCCTCTTCTATAAAATGAGAAATATTTACTTTCTTTAGATGATTAGCACAATAAAGTAATATTAGCAATATTAGCTAATTAATAATTAGCTAATTAGTAATTTAGCAATATTAGCTAAAGTAATATTAGCACAATAAAGTAAATATTAGCGCAATAAAGCAAAATTGTTGAATTATGTAGCAAAAATAATAAAGAAAGCAATTTTCCAAGATTAAAAATAAAGTATGACTTGCTCATTACAAGTACTGCAAATTGCTCTATGCTAATTTGCAAAAATCACAAGGTCAAACTGGAAATGTCTCATTAATTTTCTGACAGAAACTCAAAGGGCTATAAACAGATAAATGAACATAAACATGAATTACCATCAGAGATCATCAATTTCTGTTAGACATGAAATTGGATTAATTGTAGACTAAAACATTTCTTTAACTCTCTTATTATAAAGAAGACATTCAAAAAAATCTCAGATAATTTTATCAATAATAGAATTTATTTAACTCTTTTCATAGTATCATCTTCTTTGTGATAATCCCCCTTCCCCAGAAGCCAAATCTAAATTTTGAATCATTTTATTTGAAGAGATTTTGAAAGTGATGTTCATGTAAAATAAACCTGAAAAATTCCCCAGTGTACTAAAGTTTAGAACCATTAATAAATCTCTCATTCTGTAAATAAGTAAATATTTAAATTGGTGAATGAAAATGATTCCTTGAAAATTCTAGTTTGGTTATAAAATATAAAGATCATTTTGTCTATATTTCATTATAAATAAATACAAATACATAAGATTTTGTTCACCCAGAAATACCTATAACAAACACAGTAATTAAGAATGCTACAATAATATGACTCAAACAGAAGCAAGTAACCAAGTATATGAGAATTGTGTTATAAAATTTTAGACATTCAAAACAATATAAAACATTACAGAACTAAGAAAAATATTTCATATGTTTTAAAACAGAAATCATAAAGTCTCAAATGAAAAATAAGTACAAAATAACAAACTACCAACAGTAATCATGTATGAAGACTAATCAACGGAGAAAAAAGGTCACTACTGATCAAAATGGGTTTATATAAAAATTAGTTCCACATAATAAATAGTTTTTTTCCTATTTTAGGGTAATTGAAAACTCCACAGAAGAAATAGGCAAAAGTCATGAACAGAAAATGAAAAAAAACAAACATGAAAATATATTCAATTTCATTTCTAAATACGTATAAATTAACATAAGATTATGTGTATATATATGTATATATTACATTATATAAAATGTGTAGCTCTCTGTTTTTAGAAACTATGTAGTGATTATTTTCTCCCAAATCTTAAATGTATTATAAAACATTAATATAAGATTCATTTTATTCCATATGCAATTTAAAACATTGAATCAAATTTACTAAGGTATACATAACCCCGGATGCTTCGAGAATTACATGAATACGATGATTTTCTGAGATACAATATCTGCTTCACCTTTCCTGAATTTCCAAGTACATAACTTAAAAGGGTGTTTCTCAGAGTGGCCTCTCCCATTGTCTAAAAGCCAAACTCTGGTGACCTTAAGAGCCAATTTCTTATCTCTGGTATCATGTTTTGGCCTGAGTATATGGGATTTTATTGGATGAATTGTGTTCATATGTTACTACAGAAACAATTTAAGTCTCATTTTCCAACAAAAGTTGGAAAATCTTCAAAAATGAACAAAGAAAACTCAAAAGCCAAATGAACAGGTTTATGATTATCCATTGTTTCTAACAGTGTTTACACTGTACTTCAAAAGATGGCCTCATGGGGAGGTAACTGTTTATCATCTAAGTCAGGAAGAGCTTTGAGGTTCAAGCCAGAGTTCCTGAGCAATGCTTAGGTATCATAACAGTTCAATTGGATTAGAGAAATTCTAAAATGTCAAGTCACAGGAGTTCTAACTCGTTTTAAGAGTCCAAATCCAAGTCCTATCAGAAAAAAATAAAGAAATTATTACTCTTCCATCAATTTTTCAACAAATAATGACTGAGTTTCTGCCATATCGTAGGCACTGCTCTAGAGATTTGGATACACCAATGAACAAAACAGATGAAGATCTTAGTCCTGGTAAAGCTTACGTTTTAGTGGAGGTGAAGAAAGATAATAAACAATAATCATAATAAGTACATAAAATAATATGCTAGAAGTTAAGACTTAATGTAACTCAGGGGAAAGAGGTCAGGAGTGCTTGAGGTTGAAAGGAGGGGAGGTGATTTATTATTTAAAATATAGTGGAAGGGTTAAACCTCATGGAGTAGTTTTCAAATGGATGAGGGTGTTAACCATTCAGATACTAGAAGAAGTGTGCTCCTTACACAGTAAACAGCCAGTGCAATGGTGCCCTGTGGTAGAATGTGCCTGATATAGTCAAGAAAAATCAAAAGACTGATAAGGGTAGAGAACAGTAAGTTGTGGGGGAAAAACTAGCTGTACACAAATATAACTGAAAAAATATTAAGAATCAATATAAAATCTAAACTGAATGTGAGTCAGCAAGCCAAATGTTAATAAGTATAATTAGCAGATTAAATTATACGCAATTTAACAGTGTCTTACATTTAATCATTTTTTCTTTAATAAGTGCTACATTTCTAATTGACAGTCTATACTTGTCTGGTATACTCAGCTTTTTCTTTTCTTTCTTTTTTTTTTTTTTCTTTTGGAGATAGAGTCTCCCTCTGTTGTCCAGGCTGGAGTGGAGTGGCACAATCATGGCTCACTGCAGCCTTGGTCTCCTTGGGCTCAGGTGACCCTCCCACCTTAGCCTCCCAAGTAGCTGGGACTACAGATGCACACCTACATGCTCAGTTAATTCTTTTTTTTTTTTTTTTCTAGAGGCGGGGTTTCACCATGTTGCCCAGGTGGGTCTCAAACTCCTGGGCCTCAAGTGATCTGCCTGCCTTGGCTCCCAAAGTGCTGGGATTACAGGCATGAGCCACTGCACCTGGCTAACTTTTTCATTTTAATCAGTTATTTTCCATATAAACTTTACAAAAATCACTAATACATCCCATCCTCATGTCACCAAGCTGAAGTTTACAACGTTGTCTCTGATGACTTTACTGCTAAATTTCTATTTTTCTTAATCTATGTGGCCTACCAGTCAGTCCATAAATAATCAAAGTCACAGATGACATTTTAAAGAACTGTAATTTTCATTTGAGGTACTTCTATGCCTCTTTCTTGTGTAAAGCCTTCCCTCACCCATCCAAGAAAAACAGATATACTCCTTTGTGTTACACCATGCTCGTTAATATACTTCTATTATGACTTGATGACATTAGTACACACAATTATTTGTTAATGTGTCCTTATTCTACCTTTCAAGACTGAGTTTCATGTGAAAGCATACCTTATTAATCTCATATCCTGGGCCCCCAGCACAGGGCCTAAATTTGTTGTTGAATAAGAGAATGAATGAGGTAAAGAGAATAGAAAAATTGTAAGAAAAAAAATTGTGGGTGGAGGGAAGCCAAAAAAAGCAGAAAGTATACATCAAGTGTAAATTTAAGGCATCTGTTTCAGAAAAAGAACAGGGAACTCAGGTTATGATTCATTTCCAAAGCAGAGAAAAAGTAGAAGTAATACTTGGCCAAGAAAAATATGGAGGGGTGATGGTAAAGGAGTATTCCTTGGGACTTCTTTTTACTGGGCTCTGTGACAAATTGTCCAGCTTTCTAAAATAAGTGAGGATCAAGGAGTTAGAATCTTACATATTATAATCGAAAGTGGGATCCTCCCCATTTTAAAATGTTTTAATGGGAAGCAATAGAATTTGGGGGAGTTATACATTTATTCCTTGTAGTAAATTTGCTGTTGCTATGAGTTTTGAAAAATAGAGGGAGTCATGTAACCATGATTATGAGACACATAACAGTTTCATCATGCAAAGAAACTCCTTCATCATGATGCTTGTCAACCCCCACCCTGCAACCTTTAATCCCTAGTACCACTTATCTGTTCTCTGATACTACAGTTTGGTCTTTCCTAGAATGTCATATAAATGGAATCATACGTAATCTTTAGGGTTTTGCTTCTTTCATTTAGCCATAATGTATCTGACATTTATACATGTTGTTGTGTGTGGAAATTTTTTTTCCTTTTTATTACTGAGTTTGTCCAGTGTATGAACATACAACAGTTTATCCAGGCATCACATGAAAGATACTTGGGTTGTTTCCAGTTTTTGACAAAAGAGCTTGATAAAGGTGTGTAGTGCTACCTAATATGGTTTGAATTTGCATTTTCCTAATTACTAATGATGTTGAACATCTTTTCATTTGTTTACTTGCCATATGTGTATCTTCTTTGATGAAATATCTGTTCAGCTCTTTGCATATTTTAAAATTGGATTGGTTTTCATATTATTAAGGTTTTTATAGCAATTCTTTGTATATTATGCATACAATCCCTTTGTCAAACATGTGATTTGCAAATATTTTTTCCTGGTCTATGCCTTGTCTTATCATTAACAGTGTCTTTCAGGGAGTAAAAGCTTTTAATTTTGATGAAGTCCACTTTATCAATTTTTTTTGTTTAATGGATTGTACTTTTGTTGTTATATCTAAAATCTGTTTGCCTAATTAAACAAAGATATTCTACATTTTTAAGAGTTTTATACTTTTACATTTTGTGTTTACACCTATAACCCACCTTGAGCTAAATGTGAGGTAAGGAACAAGGTTCACTTTTTTTTTGCACACAGGTATTCAATTAATCCTAGCCTATTATTCTTAAAGGTTATCACTTTTCCATGAAATTGTCTTTGCATTAGCAAAATGAATCAAGCATATTTATGTGTATCTTTTTCCAAACTCTCTATTCTATTCTATTCTTTTTTTTTTTTTTTTTTTTTTTTTTTGAGACGGAGTCTCACTCTGTCACCAGGCTGGAGTGCAGTGGCACGATCTCGACTCACTGCAATCTCTGCCTCCTGGGTTCAAGCAATCCTCCTGCCTCAGCCTCCTGCGTAGCTGGGGCTACAGGCACGTGCTACCATGCCCAACTAATTTTTTGTATTTTTAGTAGAGATGGGATTTCACCATGTTGGCCAGGATGGTCTCGATCTCTTGACCTCATGATCCGCCTGCCTCGGCCTCCCAAAGTGCTGGGTCTGCTCTATTTATCTATACGTATAAGCTTTTACCAATAACACACTGATTACTGCATCTTAACAGTAAGTCTTAAAATCAGATAATTTGAGTTTCCAACTTAGTTCTTCCTTCATGAAATTGTTTTGCCTATTCCAGTTACTTTGCCTAGACATATAAATTTTAGAGTAAGTTTTATATCTACAAAAAAAGCCTTCTAAAACTTTGAGATTGCATTGAATCTATAAAACAATATGAAAAGAACTGACATCTTAACAACGAGTTTTCCAATCTGTAATGAAGAATTACCCATCCAGAATATCAACAGTATCAATGTTGAGAAACCCTGTTGTAAACTTCTGTAGATGCCCTTTAAGGAAGTTTTCTTCTAATACCTAGCTGTAAAGATTTTTTTTAACATGAATTAAAGTTGAATTTTGTCAAATGCTTTTCTATGCACCTATTAGTAGGATCCTATCATTTTTATTCTTTAGTCTGCTAATAAAATGAAATACATCCATTTTCAAGTACTGAAGCATTCTTGCATTCCAGTTTGATCTGTCAATATTTATTGAAGATTCTGATGTCTGTGTCCATGAGGTGTACTGGTATGTACAGTCATTTCTTGTTTTAATGTATTTCACTTTATTGTGCTTTGCAGATATTGTATTTTTTACACGTTGAAGGTTTGTGTCAACCTTGCATCCAGCAAGTCTTTCGGTGCAATTTTTCCAATAGCATGTGCTTACTTTGTGTCTCCCTGTCATGTTTTGGTAATTCTCACAGTATTTCAAACTTTTTCATTATTATTGTATCTGTTATGGTGAACTGTGATGAGTGATCTTTGATGTTACTATTGTAATAATTTTGGGGCGCCATGAACCACACCTGTATAAAATGGCAAGCTTAATTGATAAATGTGTGTGTTCTGAATGCTCCAGCTACCGGCCATTTCCCATCTCTCTCTTTCTCCTCAGGTCTCCCTATTCCCTTGAGACACAACAATACTGAAATTAGGCCAATTAATAATCCTATAATGGCCTCTAAGTGAAGAGTGGCATATATCTCACTTTAAATCAAAAGCTGTACACGATTAATCTTATTGAGGAAGGCATGTCAAAAACTGAGATAGCCAAAACCTAGGCCTCTTGTGCCAGTTAGGCAAGTGGTGAATACAAAGAAAAAGTTCAAAGGAAATTAAAAGTACTATTCCAGTGAACACATGAAGGAAGTGAAAGAGCCTTATTGCTGATATGAAGAAAGTTTGAGTGGTCTGAATAGAAGACCAAACCAGCCACAACATTCTCTTAAGCCAAAGCCTAATCCACAGTAAGGTCCTCTCTTTAATGCTATGAAGGATGAGAGAGGCAAAGACGCCGCAGAAGAAAAGTTTGAAGCTAGCAGAGGTTGGTTCATGAAGTTTCAGAAAAAAGCCATCTCTGTACATAAAAAAATAATAATAATAAAACAAAAAGGTGAAGCAGCAAGTGCTGATGGAGAAGTTGTGCTAACTTATCCAGAAGACTGAACTAAGATAACTGATGAAGGTGGCTACACTAAACAACAGATTTTCAATGTAGACCTAACAGCTTTATATTGGAAGAAGATGCCATCTAAACCTTTCATAGTAAAAGAAGAGAAGTTAATGCCTGGCTTTAACGCTTCAAAGGACAGGCTGACTCTCTTATTAGGGGCTAACGCAGCTGGTGGCTTTAAGTTGAAGCCAATGCTTATTTACCATTCCAAAAAATCCTAGGGTATTTAAGAATTATGCTAAATCTACTCTGCCTGAGCTCTATAAATGGAGCAACAAAGCCTGGATGACAGCTCCTCTGTTTACAGTTTGGCTTACTAAATATTCAAAGCCCATTGTTTTGATCCACTACTCAGAAAAAAGATTCCTTTCAAAGTATTACTGCTCATTGACAATGCACCTAGTCACCCAAGAACTATGACAGAGATGTACCAGGAGATTAATGTTGTTTTCATGGCTTCTAACACAACATCCAATCTGTAGCCCAGGGATCAGGAAGTAATTTAGACCCAAGTCTTACTATTGAAAAAGTATATTTCTTAAGGCTCTAGCCTCCATAGACAATGAGTCTTCTGATGGATCTGGGCAAAGTAAATTGAAAATCTTCTGGAAAAGATTCGTCAAGAACATTCGAGATTTATGAGAAGAGGTTAAAATATCAACATTAACAGAATATCAACATTAACAGGAATTTGGAAAAAGTTGATTCCAACTCTCATGGATGACTTAGAGGGGTTCAAGACTTTGGTGGAAGGAGTCATTGCAGATAACATGGAAATCGCAAGAGAACTAGAAGTAGAACTTGAAGATGTGACTGAATTATTGCAATCTTATGATCAAACTTGAACAGATGAGGAGTTCCTTCTTATGGATGAGCAAAGAAAGTGGTTTCTTGAAATGGAATGTACTCCTGGTGAAGACACTGTGAACATTATTGAAATGACAACAACAGAAGATTTAAGATATTAAATGAACTTAGTTGATAAAGCAGTGGCAGGGTTTGAGAGTATTGACTCCAATTTTGAAAGAAGTTCTACTGTGGGTAGAACGCTACCAAATAACATTGCATGCTAGAGAGAAACCTTTCATGAAAGGAAGAGTCCATGGATGCAGCAAAATTCACTGCTGTCTCTTTGTTGTTGTTGTTGAGATGGGGTCTTGCTATATTGCCCAGACTGGTCTGGAACTCAAGTGATCCTCCTGCCTTGGCTCCCAAGTGCTGGGATTATAGCTGTAAGCCACTGTGCCCAGCCCATTGTTGTCTTAAGACATTGTCATATCCACCCCATCCTTCAGCAGCCAGCACATCAATCAGTCAGCAGCCATCAATATTGAGGCAAGACCCTCCACCAGCAAAAAGGTAATGACTTGCTGAAGGCTCAGATGATTGTTAGCATTTTTAGCAGTAAAGTAGTTTAATTAGGGTATGTACATTTTTTAGACATAATGCTATTACACACTTAATAGATTACAGTGTAGTGTAAATACAACTTTTAATACGCACTGGGGAAACCAAAAATTTTTTGTGACTTGCTTTATAGCAATATTTACTTTATTGAATTAGTCTTGAACTGAACAAGCAATATACCTCAGTATGAGTAGAGTTTCCTTTTCTTGTAATATTTTGTCTAATTTTGTATCAGGCTAATAGTTTCCTTATAAAATGAGTTGAGAAATGTTATCTCCTATTTTCTGAGATGGATTGAATAGGATTACTATTATTACCTTAATGGCTGGTTGCAATCAACAGCAAAAATATCTAGGCCTGGAGTTTTCATTGTTGGAAGGTTTTAAATACTGATTCAACTTCTTTAATAGATATAGGACTATTTGTGTTATCTACTTCTTTATGAGTTTTGTTAGGATTTGTCTTTCAAGAAATTGGCCCATTTCCTCCACAATTAACTTTTTATCCTTTGAATGTAAGGTCTGTAGTCATATGCCCTCTTTCATTCCTGATATTGGAAATTTGTATCCTTTCTCATTTTCTTGATCAGCCTAACCAGAAGTTTATGAATTTTATTAATGATTTCAAGCAATCATCCTTTCATATCACCAATTATTGTTTTTGTTTTTAATTTCATTGATTTCTGCTTTTATCTATTATTTCCTCCATTTTGCTTGTTTTGGGTTTAATTTTCCCTTCTTTATTTAGTTTCTTTTTCTTTTTTCTTTTCTTTTCTTTTTTTTGAGATGGAGTTTCACTCCTTGCCCAAGCTGGAGTGCAATGGCGCGATCTTGGCTCACTGCACCCTCCGCCTCCCAGGTTCAAGTGATTCTCCTGCCTTCAGCCTCCTAAGTAGCTGGGATTACAGGCACACACCACCATGCCTGGCTAATTTTTTGTATTTTTGGTAGAAACGGGGTTTCACCATGTTAGTCAGGCTGGCCTTAAACTCCTGACCTAAGGTGATCCACTCGCCTTGGCCTCCCTAAGTGCTGGGATTACAGGCGTGAGCCACCGGGCCCGGCCCCTTTTTTAGTTTCTTAAGGTGAAAGCTTAGGTTACTGATTTCAGACAATTCTTTCTAAGTAAGTTTTTAATGTTTTAAATTTCCTTCTAAGTGCTGCTTTAATTGCATGCTACACATTTTGATACAACGCGTTTTAGTTTTTCATTCAGTTCAAAAGACTAATTTTCCTCGAGAATCCCTCTTTGATCCAAGAGTTATTAGCAAAGACTTGGAACCAACCCAAATGTCTATCAATGATAGACTGGATTAAGAAAATGTGGCACATACACACCATGGAATACTACGCAGCCACAAAAAGGGATGAGGTCATGTCCTTTGCAGGGACATGGATGAAGCTGGAAACCATCACTCTCAGCAAACTATTACAAGATCAGAAAACCAAACACTGCATGTTCTCACTCATAAGTGGAAGTTGAACAACGAGAACACATGGACACAGGGTGGGGAACGTCATATACTGGGGCCTGTCTAGGGGTGGGTGGCTAGGGTAGGGATAACATTAGGAGAAATACCTAATGTAGGTGACAGGTTGATGGGTGCAGCAAACCACCATGGCACATGTAAAGTATAATTTGTTTAAAAAAGTGTATTTTTACATTTTCAAACATTTGGTGATTTTTCAGATATCTTCTGTTCTTGACATCTAGTTTCATTCCATTACAGAGAACATACTTTATATGATTTCAATTCTTTTAAATTTGCTAAGGTTTCTTTTATGGCTCAGAATAAGATCTTTTTTAATGTTCCACTTGCCCTCGAAAAGAATATATATTCTGCCACTGAGGAGTATTTTATAAATGTTAATTATAAATGTTGGGGTGGCCAGGCACAGTGGTTCACACTTGTAATCTCAGCACTTTGAAAGGCTGAAGTGAGAGGACCACTTGAGCCCAGTAGTTCGAGACCAGCCAGGGCAACATAGTGAGACCTAGCCTCTATAAAAAATCAAAAAATTAGCTGGGTGTAGTGGTGTGTGCCTGTAGTCCCAGCTACTCAGGAACCTGAGGTGGGAGAATCATTTGAGCTTGGGGATGTGGAGGCTGTGGTGAGCCATGATTGTGCCATTGCACTCCAACCTGGGTGACAGGGTGAGATCCTGTCTTAAAAAAAAGTTGGGGGCCGGGCACGGTGGCTCACACTTGTAATCCCAGCACTTTGGGAGGCCAAGGTGGGTGGATCACGAGGTCAGGAGATGGAGACCATCCTGGCTAACACTGTGAAACTCCGTCTCTACTAAAAATACAAAAAAATTACCCGGGCGTGGTGGCGGGCACCTGTAGTCCCAGCTTCTTGGGAGGCTGAGGCAGGAGAATGGTGTGAACCCAGGAGGAGGAGCTTGCAGTGAGCCAAGATCGCGCCACTGCACTCCAGCCTGGGGGAAAGAGCGGGACTCTGTCTCAAAAAAAAAAAAAAAAAAAAAAAGTTGGGGTGTTTTATAAATGTCAGTTGGCTGATAATATTGCCAAGATCATTTGTACCCTTACTAATTTTCTGTTTACTTGATCTACTATTATGAGAGGAGTGTTGACATTGCTAAGTATAATGTAGATTTTTCTATTTTCTCCTCTCAGTTCTGTTACCTTTTGCTTTTTAGACTCTGTTATCAGCTGCATACATACTTTGGTTTTGTTCTGTCTTCTTGGCAAATTAATCTGCTTTTTAATATGTAAATGTCCAACTTTATCCCTGTCAGTTTTCTTTGTTCTGAAATCTACTTTGATATATAATTAAATCTACTCCAACTTTTTTTCAATTACTTTCTGCATGGAATAACTTTTTCTATCCTTTTAACCTATCTTTATCACTATAATTAAAATGGGTTTCTGTATATATTGAGTCCTTTTTTTACCCAGTCAAAAAATCTCTTTTAATTGGAGTGCTTAGGCCATTTATATTTAACATATCTATTAATAAGGTTTGATTTAGGTCTACCATTTTATTGTTTGTTTTCTGTTTATCCCTTTTTTCACCACCTTCTTTTTGGATAACTTTAATGTTTTAATGTTCCATTTTAATTTATTTATTGGCTTTTTTGGCTAAAAACTCTTAGTATCTTTATAGTCACTACTTTATGAAATAGAACACCTAATATTTAATAGTCTACAGTTAACATTTTAGCATTTCAACTAAATATATATAACCACATAGTTCCCTTTACTCTGTAGCCTTTGCTTTAAAAGTCACTTGTACTATACATGCAAACCTGGAAACCTTCCCCAGCAATGCCATAAATTTTGCTTTCAAGAGTAGAGTCAGGGCCAGGCATGGTGGCTCACACCTGTAATCCCAGAACTTTGAGAGGCTGAAATGGGAGGATTGCTTGAGTAGTCATATTGAAAGACCTTAATAGAGGAGAAAAACTCTGCTGTATTTATTTAGATATTCACAGTTTCTGTTGCTCTTTCTTCATTCATGAAGTTCCAAGTTTTCTTCTGATACCATCTCCCTTTAGCCTGAAGAACTTTTGTTAGCATTTCTTTTAGACCAGATTTGCTAGTAATAATTCTTAGTTTTCCTTTATCTGGGAATTTCTTTATTTTGTCCTCATCTCTGAAGTACATTTTCACTGAATACAGAATTCTGGGTTAGCAGTGCTTTTCTTTTAGAACTCTAAAGATGCTATTTCACTGTCATCTGTCCTCCATGGTTCCTGTTGAAAACCCTGCATTCACTTGAACTGTTGTTCCCTATATGTAATAAATTATATTTCTCTGGCAGGTTTCAAGATTTTTTGCTGTAATCTTCTATGTTTAGAAGTTTGATTATCATGTGTTTAGAAGCAGTTAACTTTAAGTTTATCCCTTTTGAGGTTTTGTTGGGTTTTTTGTTTTGTTCTGTTTTGGATTTTTGTGTGTGTATGTATGGTGAGAACACTTGAGATCTACTATCATAGCAATTTTCAAGTACACAATATAGGTCTCCAGCACTTAATCATCTTATAACTGAAGGCTTGTACCCTTTGACCAATATCTCCCCTTTTCTCCTATCCCCCAGCCTCTGGTAATCAACATTTTACTCTCTGTTACTATAAGTTTGACTATTTTTAGGCTCCATATCTAATACATGAGATCACGTGGTATTTGTCTTTCTGTGTCTTGCATATTTCATGTAGTTTATTGACCTCCAGGTTCATCTGTTACTGCAAATCGCAGGATTTCCTTTTTTTTTTTTTTTAAATCTGAAATGGTATTCCATTGTGGTGTGTGTGTGTGTGTGTGTGTGTGTGTGTGTGTGTTATATACACTGTAGTTTATTAATCCATCCTTCTGTTGACAGCTACTTAG
Organism: Homo sapiens; assembly: GCF_000001405.40. Lineage (NCBI taxonomy): Eukaryota > Metazoa > Chordata > Mammalia > Primates > Hominidae > Homo > Homo sapiens. The sequence continues at coordinate 87,677,225 of NC_000007.14, read as the reverse complement.
GTTGTCTTAATATCTTGGCTACTGTTAAAAATCCTGCAATAAACATAGAAGTGCAAATATCTCTTCCAAATACTGATTTTATCTTCTTTCAATAAATAACCCAGAAGTAGAACTGCTGGATCATATGGCAGTTCTACTTGTAATTTTTTGAGGAACCTCCATACTGTTTTCCATAATGGCTGTCCTAATCTACATTCCCACCAATAGAGTAGGAAGGTTCCCTTTTCTCCACATCCTTGCCAACACTTGTTATCTTTTGATTGTTTTTTATACTGGCCATCTAGACAGATGTAAGGCATTATTAAATTTTGTGGTTTAGATTTGCATTTCTCTGATGAGTAGTGATATCGAGTGTCTTTTCATATATCAGTTGGCCATCTGTATGTTTTCTGATCCTCTGCCCATTTTTATTATTTAGTGGAAGGGAATATGAGTGATTTTAAGATAAGGCAAGGAGTTGTGATCCAGGTAATGGAACATGGTAAAGGCATTTATCTTTTTTTTTTTTTTTTTTTTTTTTTTGAGACAGGGTCTTGCTCTGTTGCCCAGGCTGGAGTGCAATGGCATGATCTTGGCTCACTGCAACCTCTGCCTCCTAGGTTCAAGCAATTCTCGGGCCTCAGCCTCCTGAGTAGCTGGGACTACAGGCATACACCACTATACCTGGCTAATTATTGTGTTTTCAGTAGAGATGGGGTTTCACCATGTTGGCCAGGCTGGTTGTCTTGAACTCCTGACCTCAAGCAATCCACCTGCCTTGGCCTCCCAAAGTGATGGAATTATAGGTGTGAGCCACTGCGCCTGGCCTCTTTGCCCATTTTTTAATGTTGTTGTTGTTGTTGTTGTTTTCTACTGAGTTTCTTAAATATTCTGGATATTAACACCTTATTGGATACATGGTTTACACATGTTATCTCTCATTCTGTAAGTTGCCTTTTCATTTTGTGGATTGTTTCCTTTGCTTTGCAGAAACTTCATTTGTTTGTTTGTTTGTTTGTTTAGACAGGGTCTTGTTCTATCACCCAGCCTGGAATATAGTGATGAGGTGATAGCTCACTGAAGCCTCAAACTCCTGGGTTCAACCAACCCTCCTGCCTCAGCCTTATGAGTAGCTGGGACTACAAGTGCATGCCACCACGTCTGGCTAATTTTTTAACTTTTTGTAGAGATGGGAATCTCACTATGTTGCCCAGGTAGATCTCAAAGTCCTGGCACTCCTGACCTCAAGCAATCCTCCAGTGTCAGTATCACAAAGCACTGGGATTACAGGTATGAGCCACTACACTTGGCTTGAAACTTCTCAGTTTAATGTCGTTCCACTTATTTATCTTTTCTTTGTTGCCTGTACTTTGGGTGTTAAGTCCAAAAATATCTTTGCCAAGAACAATGTCAATTAGCTTTTCCCCTATATTTTCTTTTAGTAATTTTACAGTTTCAGGTCTTATGTTAAATTATTTAATTTGTTTTGAGTTGATTTTTGTGTATGATATAAGAGAAAGGTCCGATTTCTCTCTCTCTTTCTTTGTTTTCTTTCTTTCCTTCTTTCTTTTTCCTTTTTTTTTTTTTTTTTTTGCATGTGAATATTCAGTTTTCTGAACACTATTTACTGAAGAGATTATCCTTTCCCTATTGTGTACTCTTGGTGTCTTGTCAAAAATTAGTTGACCATAATATGCATACATTAATTTCTGGGTTCTCTACTTTGTTCCATTGGTCTATGTATCTGTTTTTGTTTTAGTACCAAGCTGTTTCAATTACTATAGCATTGTAACATAGTTTGAAGTCAGGAAGCATAATGCCTTCAGCTTTGTTTCTTTTGCTCAGGGTTGCTTTGGCTACTCAAGACTGGAGGTTTGATATAAATTTTAGGAAACTTTTCCATTTTCTATGAAAAATGTCATTAAAATTTTGAAAAAGATTATATTGATAAGAGACTTGGACATCAGGAAGACTGGCAGACTCTGAACAGATCTTTGGAGGGAAGGCATTTAGAGTGGACAGAGGGAGGAAGCAGACACTGGGTGGAAGAGGGAGGAAGCCGGGAACCCAGCATGGGGAGGCTAAGCACAGGGACTTGTTCCTAGCCCCCAGCATCTTCTGGGGAAAAGGCAAGTTGAACAAGTGAGGAGCGGCCCGCTCTCACCACAGACTGCCAGGATCCTAGCAGCAGGAGATCATTTCCCCAACAGACACTTAAGCTGGCAGGGAGAGATGCCTGAAAAGGCTGTAGGTACAGGGCTCCAGCCTGTGCAAAACCAAGAGGGCTTGGCACAGGAAGAGCTGCACTGGAGCACATCCAAGGATGCCCCTCCCCCAAGGCTTACCATGCTCCTGTGGGAGCCTTTAGCCTTAGGGTGACCGTCAGACCTGGACAGAGAAGGTGCTCTTGCCTGTAGGACAAAGCCAGTCTGATCTAAGCACCCTCCTGTCAGCTAGCCTCTCCTTGGGCTCCAGCCTACCATGCCCACTTGCAATGCGGCCTCAGATGCCCAACCAGGGTGCTTCCTGGGGGCCCTATCATGCCTCCTTTGCTGGCAGACAATTCTTGACCATCTCAGAGTTCCAACAGACCAGCCCCTGCCAATACATGCTAGCCCACCCACAGCTTACCCCCAAGGCAGACTTGCCTCACCTACTTTACTGGCATATACTATTTGCCCATGCCCTGACTCCCCACTGCTTTGCTGGCACATGTCACCCTCCTCTCCCATCCCATGCTGGTACATGTATGTGTGTGCACCCTGACACCCTAGAACTGCCAGCATGAGTGTACCCTGCCATTATTCCCCCACTGATGTGTGGGCACAGAGATACACTGCCACCGACATGAAGGCACACAATGATACCAGCAACCACACCCCTGCCAGCACCCTGCTCCTGCCATGATAGCAGCAAGAGAGCATGCATGGATGCCAGTACCCCCACCCCTGCCACAACTGCATAAGTACCTGCATGTACATCACTGCCTCGCTTCCACTGGTACCCTGCCCCAGCCAATGAGGGTGTACCTCGCTATACTTCTGCAGATGCTGGCACACATGAAGGAGCATGAATCCCACTGCCACCACCTCGATGAAGTGGTTTGGCCGGTACCACCCATAGGAGTATTGTGACCAGTGGACTGAAAACACCTTGGCCCTTCCAGTGCAGCAGCTTCCTAACCTTGAGGGGCCAGAGAACAAAGCCAGGGGCCAGGTACCAGTTCCCCAGAGTTATAGCACACAGCCGAGGAGTGCTGAGCTAAGCCTTGGCCCACTAAAATCTTCCAGAAATGAAGCCAATTGACTGAACCTACCTTATATCACAATCAAACACCCAAGGGCATCAAAGAATATAAAAGCAAAAAAACCCATCCAAGGACAGCAACATCAAAGGTTGAAGGAACATCAGCCCACACATGAGAAAGAACCAGCACAAGACCTCTGGCAACTCAAACAGCCAGAGTGTCTTATTACCTCCAAACAACTACCTAGTTTCCCAGCAATGGTTCTTAACCATGCTGAAATGGCTGAAATGAGTGACATAGAATTCAGAACATGGATACGAATGAAGATCATCAAGATTCAACAGAATGTCAAAGCTCAATCCAAGGAATCTAAGGAATATGACAAACGGATACAGAAGCCGAAATATCGAAGGGCCATTTTAAGAAAGAAGCAAACTGATCTGATAGACATGCACACTTCGAGAATTTCATAATATAATCACAAGTATTAATAGCAGATTCGACCAAACTGAGGAAAGAATCTCAATGCTTGAAGACTGGTTCTTGAAATTAGCTCAGTCAGAAAAAGAAAAAAGAATAAAAAGGAATAAACAAAACCTCTGAGAAATATGGGATTATGTAAAGAGACAAAATATGTGATTCATTGCCATCCCTGAAAGAGAGGGAGACAAAGCAAGGAAATTGGGAAACATATTTGAGGATAACAACCATGAAAATGTCCCCAACCTCTCTAGAGAAGTCAACATTCAAATTCAAGATATGCAGAGAATCCTGCAAAATACTATACAAGATGACCATTCCCTAAGACATATATAGTCATTAGATTTGCCAAAGTCAAAATGAAAGAAAAAATGTTAAAGGCAGCAAAACAAAAGGGGAAGGTCACCTACAAAGGGAACCCGATCAGGCAAACAGCAAACCTTTCAGCAGAAAGCCTACAAACCAGAAGAGTTTGGGGTCCTAAATGCAGCATTCTTATAGAAAAGGAATTCCAGGGGAGTAGTCAGGATGGCCGACCAGAAGCAGCCAGTGTGCATGGCTCTCATAGAGAAAGACAAGTTAATATAGCACCTTCAATTGAAACATCCAGGTACTCACATTGGGATTAATCAAGGAAACAACTTGACCCATGGAGAATGAAGAAAAGCAAGACAGGACAACAGCCCACCCAGGAGTAACGCAGAGCCAGGGGAACCTCCCCTGCCCAGGGAAGCAGTGAGTCAATGTGTGACCTCAGGAAACCACACTTCTCCCATGAATCTTTGCAAACCTTGGGTCAGGAGATCTCCTTGTGAACCCATTCCACCAGGGCCTTCGGTCTCACAGACAGAGCTACATGGAGTCTTGGCAGAGATGCTGCTCAGACATGCATGGAAACCCTGGAGGCTTAGATACTGGGCTTTCCAGCAAAAGAAGTTGCAGCTCTGGCAAAGTGGAAGGCTGGACCCCTGTACATACCCCTTGGAAAGAGGCTGAATCTAGAGGGCTAAGCAGCCAAAACCTACAGGCCCCACTTCCACGGCACCCCACAAGATAAGACCCACTGGCTTGGAATTCTACCCAGCCACCGGTAGCAGCACTGCACCTCCCTAGGGAGGAGCGTCCAGGGGAGGGGTGGGCCACCATCTATGCTGTTTGGGCACCTTAGCCATTCCAGCCTCTGGGCTTTGGAGAGTCCAAGCTGACCAGAGGTGGAAAGGATCCCCCAGCATAGCACAACTGCTCTACCAAAATGTGGCTAGACTGCTACTTTAAGCAGGTACCTGATCCTGTTCCTCCTATGGGTGGAACCTCCCAAGTGGGGCCTCTAGCCATCCCTGCCTGTGTTCTCCAGACAACACAGATTTGAATTCTCCCTGGGATGATGCTCCCAGAGGGAGAGGCAGGTCGCCATCTCTGCTGTCTGGGTGACTCAGTCATTCCCATCTTTGGGATTTGGAGAGTCTGAGCAGACCAGGGGCAGAAAAGACTCCCAGAAAGCACAGCTGCTCTACCAAAATGCGGCCAAACTGCTTAAGTGGGTCCCCAGTCCCACTTCTCCTCACTGGGCAGGACCTCCCAACCAGGGCCTCCAGCACTCCTGCCTGTGTTTTCCAGCCAACAGAGAGCTGAATTCTCCCAGGACAGTGCTCCCAGGGGGAGTGGCAGGCACCATCTTTGCTGTTTGCCTGACTTAGCTTTTCCAGCCTTCAGGTTTCAGAGTGTCTGAGGCAACCGGGGGCTGAAGTGGACCTCCAGCACAGCACGGAACAGCTGCTCTACCAACACATGGTAAGACTGCGTTTTTAAGTGGGTCCTCAATCTTGCTCCTTCTTACTGGGTGGGACCTCCCAGGTCTCTACCCACCTCTTACAGGTGCCTTTGGGCCAGCAACAGGCCTGTACCTCCCAGGGACAAAGCTCCCAGAGAGAGGGACAGGCTCTCATCTTTGCTGTTTTGCGGCCTTCACTGGTGATACCTCCAGGTACTAGAAAATCCGAGGCAACCAGGTACTGGAGCAAACATACCACAGCAGCCCTATGGAAAATTGGCCAGAGTGTTAAGTAGGTGCCCATTCTCAGATCTCCTCACCAGACAGGTCTTCCAGGCTTGTGTCTCCAGCCACCCTCTACCAGAGCTACCGAGCAAGTAGCAACTTGGCAACTCCCTGGACAGGGCCTCTAGGGGAAACTAAAAGCCTCTCTGAGACTGCCGCTGCAGTGGATCTGCCCTTGCCGGACCAATAAGAGAGTAAAAACCCTAAGTGTCGTGTCCACACCTCCAACCAGTTGTAATCAGCCCAAGGAGAGGAGGCCAGTACGTCTCCCACAGGTCCCACACACCCCACAGTGCTTGTGACTAGACAGGGAACCCTTGGCCTGGGGCCACAGTACAGACCCTCCATCCTGGTCTGATTGCCCTGAGGGGCTGCTGACCTATATCTCTCTGGGTTGGAGCCCCCAGGAAACAAGCAAATGACCCTCAGTCACAACTACTAATAAGATCCCTTTCTCTGCTGCCTCCAACTTGAGAAAGAAACATAAACACTGAGATCGCCCCAAAGCTGCAGTGGGCAGCCCAGAAGTACCAAATCACAATCTACAGCCAGCATTCAAGGGGGAGAGAAACTCACACTTTCAGAACATTGACAGAGAACACAGCTGCAATTGTGAGGAAACATAGGGGAGCCACACAACCAAACAAGTCTACCAACTGACCAAAAAGCCTAAGCCACCTGCTGGATCACACCCCAAGGCTTTAACATCAAAAATACCTCACTAATGTACCCACCTCTGAAACCAGAGTCAAGAAGTCAGCTTCAAATAAAGACACTGCACAAAGCCTTGGCCTGGTGAAAACATCCAAAAGAGAAGTCTGTTGACTATACTTAATCTACAATGCAGATAAAGGAACACCCACACACAGAGATGAGAAAGAACCAATGCAAGAGCTCCAGTAACTCAAATGTTCAGAGTATTGTATGCCATCCAAATGACCACACCCATTCCCCAACAAGAGTTTTTAATCAGGCTGTACTGGCTGAAATAACAGAAATACAATCCAGACTATGGATAGGTACAAAGATCACTGAGACTCAGGAAGATGGCAAAACCCAATCCAAGGAAAATGAGAATCACAATAAAGTGATACAGGAGCTGAAGGATGAAATAGCTGGTATAAAAACAGAACCCAATGGGTCTGACAGAGCTGAATAACACAATACAATAATTTCACAATGCAATTACAAGTATTGACAGCAGAAGAAACCAAGCTAACAAAAGAATCTCAGCACCTGAAGACTGGTTCTCTGAAATAAGAAAGTCAGATGAAAATAATGAAAGAGGAATAAAAAGGAATAAACAAAACCTGTGAGAAGTATTGGATCATGTAAAGAGGTCAAATCTACAAATCACTGGCATTCCTGAAAGGGAGGGGGAGAAAGAAAACAACTTGGAAAACATATTTCAGGAAATTGTCCATGAAAACTTCCCCAACGAGGTACAGGGCCTAACAGTTAAATTCAGAAAATACAGAGAACTCCTGCAAGATTCTATACAAGAAGATCACCCCCAAAACACATGTCATCAGCTATTCCAAGGTTAAAATGAAAGAAAGACTTTTAAAGGCAGCTAGAGAGAAAGGGCACATGACCTACAAAAGGAACTCCATTAGGCTAACAGTGGACCTCTCAGCTGAAACCCTACAAGCCAGAAGAGATTGGGGGCCCATATTCAACATTCTTAAAGAAAAAAATCTTCAACCAAGAATTTCATATACAGCCAAAGTGAGCTTCCCAAGTGAAGGAGAAATAAGATCCTTTTCAGATAAACAACTCTTGAGGGAATCCATTACCACCAGGCTTGCCTTACAAGAGATTTTGAAAGGAGCACTATATAGAAAGGAAAGACCAATACCAGCTAATACAAAAACATGCTTAAACACACAGACCAGTGTCACTGTAAAACAATCACAGAAAAAGCCAACATAATAATCAGTTAATAACACAAAGACAGGATCAAATCCACACAAATCAATATTAACCTTGAAAGTAAATGGGCTAAATGCCCCACTTAAAAGGCACAGTGAGAAGCTGGATAAAAAAGCAAGACCCAATGGTATGCTGTGTTCAAGAGACCCATCTCACATGTAATGACACTCATAGGCTCAAAATAAAGAGATAAAGAAAAATCTACTAAGCAAATGGAAAACAGAAAAAAGAAGGGATTGCAATCTGAATTCAGACAAAAGAGATTTCAAATAAACAAACATCAAAAAAGACAAAGAGGGCATTACTTAATGGTAAAGGATTCAATTCAACAAAAAAACCTAAATACCCTAAATATATATGTACCCAACACACAAGCACCCAGATTCATAAAGCAAGTTCTTAGAGACCTACAAAGAGGCACAAACTCCCATGGAAAAAATAGTGGGAGACTTCAACACTCCACAGACAGTATTAAACAGATCATTGAGGCAGACAATTAACAAAGATATTCAGGATCTACACTCAACATTAAACCAAAAGGCTCGGATACACCTCTATAGAACTCTCCACCAAAAAACACCAGAATATACATTCTTCTCCTCACCACATGGCACATACTCTAAAACTGACCAAATAATTGGAATAAAACAATCCTCAACAAATGTAAAAGAACTGAAATCATACCAAACACACTCTTGGATCACAGAGCAATAAAAATAGAAGTCAAGACTATGAAAATCACTCAGAACCATGCAATCACACAGAAATTAAACATCATGCTCTTGAGTGGCTTTGGGGTAAATAATGAAATTAAGACAGAAATCAAGAAGTTCTTTGAAAATAATGAGAACAAAAATACAACATACCAGAATCTCTGAGACACAGCTAAGACAGTGTTAAGAGAGAACTTCATTGCACTAAATGCCCACATCAAAAAGTTAGAGAGATCTCAAATTAACAACCTACCTTCACAACTGAAAGAATTAGGCAAGAACAAATCAACCCCAATACTAGCGGAAGACAAGAAAAAAAATCAGAGCTGAACTGAAGGAAACTGAGACACAAAAAAAACAATCAAAAGATCAATTAATCCAAGGGCTGTTGTTTTGAAAAAACTAATAAAATAGGCCACTAGTTAGACTAATAAAGAAGAAGGAAGAAAAGCTCCAAATAAACACAATGAGAAATGACAAAGGGAATGTTACTACTGACCCCACAGAAACAAAAACAACCAAGAGAAACTACTATGAACACCTCTACATACACAAACTAGAAAACCTAGAAGAGATGAGTAAATTCCTGGACGTATACACTCTCTCAAGACAGAGCCAGGAAGAAACTGATTCCCTGAGCAGACCAATAATGAGCTCTGAAATCAAATCAGTAATAAATAGCCTACCAAAAAAAAAAAAGCCAAGGGCCTGATGGATTCATAACTGAATTCTACCAGACATACAAATGAGAGCTGGTACCATTTCTACTGAAATAATTCCAAAAAAATGAGGAAGAGGGACTCCTCCCCACCTCATTCTCTAAGGCCAACATCATCTTAATACCCAAACCTGGAAGAGACACAACAAAAAAAGAAAATTTCAGGCTGATATCCTTGATGAACATCAATACAAAAATCCTCAACAAAATACTGGAAAACCAAATCTGGCAGCACATCAAAAAGCTAATCCATCAAGATTGAGTAGGCTTCAACCCCAGGATGCAAGTTTGGCTCAACATATTCAAATCAATAAACATGATTCATCACATAAACAGAACTAAAGACAAAAACTATATGATTATCTCAATAGACACAGAAAAGGCCTTTGATAAAATTCAACACCGCTTCATGTTAAAAACTCTCAGTGAACTAGGTATTGAAGGAACATACTTCAAAATAATAAGAGCCATCTATGACAAACCCACAGCCAACTTTATGCTGAATGGGCAAAAGCCAGACGCATTTCCCCTTGAAAACTGAGAAGGATGCCCTCTCTCACCACTACTATTAAAAATAGTAATGGAAGTCCTAGCCAGAGCTATCAGGCAAGAGAAAGAAATAAAGGGCATCCAAATAGGAAAAGAGAAAGTTAAACTATCCCTGTTTGCAGATGACATGATTCTATATCTAGAAAAAAAAAAACATAGTCTTGGCCCAAAAGTTCCTCCATCTGAAAAACAACTCCAGCAAAGTTGCAGGATACAAAATCAATGTACAAAAATCACTAGCATTCCTATACACCAACAACAGCCAAACTTACAGCCAAATCAGAATGGCAATCCCACTCACAACTGCCAGAAAAAGAATAAACTTCATAGCAATACAGCTACCCAGGGAGGTGAAAAATCTCTACAATGAGAATTACAAAACCCTGCTCAAAGAAATCAGAGAAGACACAAATGGATAAACATCCCATGTTCATGAATAGGAAGAATCAATATCACTAAAATGGCTATACTGCCCAAAGCAATTTATAGATTCAATGCTATTCCTATCAAACTACCAGTGACATTCTTCACAGAACTAGATAAAAACCATTTTAAAATTCATATTGAACCAAAATAGAACCCAAATAACCAGAAGCAATCCTAAGCAAAAATAGCAAAGGTAGAGGCATCACATTACCTGACTTCAAACTATACCACAAGGCTACAGTGACCAAAACAGCATGGTACTGGTACAAAAACAGGCACATAGACCAATGGAACAGAATAGAGAGCCCAGAAATAAGGCTACACACCTATGACCATATGATATTTGACAAAGCTGACAAAAACAAGCAATGGGGAAAATACTCCTAATCAATAAATGGTGCTGGGAAAACTGGATAGCCATATGTGGAAGATTGAAACTGGACCCCTTCCTTACACTATACACAAAAATAAACTCAAGATGGATTAAAGACCTAAATGTAAAACCTCAAACTATTAAAGCCATGGAAGTTTACATAGGAAATACCATCCTGGACATAGGAATGGGCAGAGATTTCATGAAAAAGAAACCAAAAGCAATTGCAACAAAATTAAAAATTGACAAATGGATCTAATTAAACTTAAGAGCTTCTGTGCAGCAAAGGAAACTATCCACAGAGTAAAGAGACAACCTACAGAATGGGAAAAAAATATTTACAAACTATGCATCTGGCATGGTCTAATATCCAGCATCTATAAGGAACTTAAGCAAATTTACAAGGAAAAAACAAACCACTCCATAAAAATGTGGGCAAAAGACATGAACAGACACTTTTCAAAGGAAGCATACACACGGCCCACAAGCATATGAAAAGAAAGCTCAGTATCACTGATCATTAGAAAAATGCAAATCAAAACCACAATGAGATACCATCTCACACCAGTCAGAATGGCTATTACTAAAAAGTCAAAAATAACAGGTGCTGGAGATGTTGCAGAGAAAAGGGGATGCTTATACACTGCTGTTAGAAATGTAAATTAGGTCAGTCATCAGTCATTGTGGAAGACAGTATGGCAATTCCTCAAAGAGCTAAAAGAACTACCATTCGACCCAGCAATCCCATTACCGGGTATATACCCAGAGGAATATAAGTCATTCTACCATAAAGACACATGTACACGTATGTTCACTGTAGCACTAAAGAAAATGTGATACATATATGCCATGGAGTACTATACAGCTATAAAAAAGAATGAGATCATTTCTATTGCAGCAACATGGATCAAGCTGGAGATCATCATTCCTAAGTGAAATAATGCGGGAACAGAAAACCAAATATCACACGTTATCACTTGTAAGTGGGAGCTAAACACTGACTACACATGGAAAGAAGGATGAGAACAACAAACTCTGAGGTCTACTTGAGAGTGAAGGGTGAGAGGAAGGAGAGGATCAAAAACTACCTTTCACGTACTATGCTCATTACCTGGGTAATAAAATTAATTGTACACCAAACCCCATGAAATGCAATTTACCTAGATGACAAACCTGCACATGTACCCTTGAACATAAAAGTTTAAAAAAGGAAATACTGCATTGAATCTATAGGTCACTTTGGGTAGTATGGACATTTAACAATAAAAATTCTTCCAACCCATGAGCATGAGATATATTTCTATTTATTTGTGTCTTCTACAATTTATTTAATCAATGTTTAGTAACTTTCAGTGTACAGAGGTTTCACTTCCTTGCCTGAATTTCCTCCTAAGTATATTATTCTTTTCTGATGGAAATGGAACTGTTTTCTTAATTTCTATTTTTGGATAGTTCATTTTTAGTATATAAAAATGTAACTTATTTTTGTATGTTGATTTTGTATCATACGACTTCACTGAATTTATTAATTCTAACCATTTTTTGGTATTTAGGTTCTTATACATGTAAGATAATTTAATCTGCAAACAGGGATCATTGAACTTCTTATGTTCTAACTTGGATACCTTTTATTTATTTTTCTTGCATAATTGCTCTAGCTAGGAGATCCAGAATGATGTTGAGTAGAAGTGGTAGGAATGGATTCCCTTGTCATGTTCTTGATCTTAGAGAGCTTTCAGCTTTTTACCACTGAATATGATGCTTACTGTGTGCTTGTTATATATGACCTTTATTATGTTGAGGTACATTACTTCTGTACTTTAATTGTTGAGAATTTTTATTAAGAAAGGATGTTAAATTTTGTGAAATGCTTTGCTAAGCTTCTTGAATCTATAAATTTATCTTCCCCAAATCTAGGAACTTATAGCTATTATTTTGTCAAATGTATTTTCTATATTAATCTCTTCCTCCTCTCCTTCTAAGACTCCAATGACACAAACTTATATATTTTGCTATAAATTTTTAAATTTCTTCCTGTTCTGTTCTTCAGATTGGATCATTTCTATTGATTTACTTTGAAATTCATATACGCACCTCTATCATCTCCATTCTGCTTTAGAGGCTCATCTGGTTAATGTTTTATTTCAGACATCATACTTTTAAATTTCCATGGTTCTTCCTGAAGATTTTATTTCTCTACTCAGAATTTCCATTTTTCTATTCATTTCAAGAGTTACACCTTACATCATGGAGCAGGGTTATAATGGCTGCTTTGATGTCTTTGCCTGATTATTCCAACATCTGGGTCATCTCACAATAAGCATCTGTATTCCTTTGAGAATTGATCACATTTTCCTGCTTCCTTGTAAGTAAAGTAATTTTGGTTTTACCCTAGATTTTATATTTTATTTTTTTAGAGATGGTATCTTGCTGTGTTGCCCAGGCTTGAGTGCAGCTGCTATCTCCAGGTACAATAATAGTGTACTACAGCCTTGAACTCCTGGCCTCAAGTGACCCTCCTGCCTCAGCTTCCTGGGTAGCTTGGACTACAGAAGTGTGCCACCATGCCTGGCTACCCTGTATATTTTTAATTTAATATTATTTTAAAAGTGAATGACAGAGTCTTTCCTCAAAGTGCACAGAGACAAGAAGATATAAACATGTAAGCCAATAGCTACAACACATTGATAAATGCTGTATGAAATGAATTGCATGCCTCCAAAATTCACATGTTTAAGTCCTATCCCCAATATATCTGTATTTCAAGATAGCCACTATAAGGAGTTAATTAAGGTGAAATGAGGTATAAGGGTGGGGCCTTCATCCAGTAGGATCATACAAAGAGTCACCAGAGAGCTCTCATTCTCTGTCTCCACCAAGTGAGGACACAGTGAGAAGACGACCAACCACCTACAAGCCAGAAGGAGAATGCTTGCCAGAAAGCAAATCAGCCAATATCTTGATCTTGGACTTCTCATCCTCCAGAACTGAGAAATAAATTTCTGTTACTTAAGCCTCTCAGTATGTAGTATTTTGTTATAGTACTCTAAGAACACTCAGAGAATTAGGTTATTATTGGACTTACTCTACCTTGTCTAACATCCTAAGTTCAGTAAGATTTTTCAACAGTAGCTTTTAAAAGCAATAATGTGGAAAAGTATACAGTATTTTAAAAGATTAAAGACAAAATCTATGCTGTAACAGAAAGATGGAGTAGAAAAATAATGGAAGTTTTCTTGAGAAATTTACTGAAAATAAAAAGGTATACAAAGAACACAGAATTCAATAATACATAGTAGCGGTAGAAGAAAAGCCAACTGTAGGGAAAGCTTAATAAGTATTGACTAGATAGATGGAAATAGAGAGAAAACAGGGGAAGAATGCAGCTGAACTGGACAACGAGATGGTTAGTTAATAGCGTCAATGGGTAATAAACACAAGGAATAGATCTCATCATGCTTAAGTAGAAAAGAACCTTGTATTTACAATAAAATAAGAGGGATTAACAGACAAGAGAAAGAAATAAAGGGCATCCAACTAAAAAGGAAAAAGTCAAATTATCCTTGTTTTCAGATGATATGATCTTATATTTTGGATAACCTAAAGAATTCACCAAAAAGCCATTAGAACTGATAAACAAATTCAGTAAAGTTGCAGGATACAAAATCAACATACAAAAAGTCAGCAGCTTTCCTATATGCCAACAGTGAACAATCTGAAAAAGAAATCAAGTACTATTATTTATAATTGCTATAAGTAAAATACCTAGAAATAAACTTTACCAAAGAAGGGAAAGATCTCTACAATGAAAACTATAAAACACTGATGCCAGAAATTTAAGAGGACACAAAAAAACTGAAAGATATTCCATGTTAGTGAATTGGAAGACTATTGTTAAAATGCCCATACTACTCAAAGCAGTATACATATTCAATGCAATCCCTATCAAAATACCAATGACATTTTTCACAGAAATAGAAAAACCAATCCTAAAATTCATATGGAACCACAAAGACCCAGAATAGACAAAGCTATCCTGAGCAAAAGAAACAAAACTGGAGGAATCACATTCCCTGACTTCAAAGTATACTACAGGGCTATTGTAATCAAAACACCATGGTACTGGCATAAAAAGAGATACATAGACCAATGGAACAGAATAGAGAATGCAGACATAAATCCATAAAACTACAGTTAACTCATTTTTGACAAAGATTCTGAAAATGTATATTGGGGAAAGGACAGTCTCTTCAATAAATGGTGCTGGGAAAACTGGTTATCCATATGCAGAAGAATGAAACTAGACCCCTCTCTCTCACTGTATACAAAAAATCAAATCAAAATGGATTAAATACTGAAATCTAAAACCTGAAAGTGTGAAATTATTAAAAGAAAACATTGTGGAAAGTCTCCAGGACATTGGACTGGGCAAGGATTTCTTGACTGACACCCCATAAGAACAGGGAACCAAAGCAAAAACGGACAAGTGAGATCACATCAAGTTAAAAAGCTTCTGCACTGCAAAGTAAACAATCAACAAAGTGAAGAGATAACCCACAGTATGGGAGAAAATATTTGCAGACTACTCATCTGACAAGGGATTAATAAGCAGAATATATAAGGAGCTCAAACAACTCTACAGGAAAAAACTAATAATTAAACTTAAAATGGGCAAAAGATCAGAATAGATGTTTCTCAAAAGAAGACCTATAAATGGCAAACAGGTATATGAAATGGTGCTCAACATCATTGATCATCAGATAAATGCAAATCAAAAGTACAATGATATATTATTTCACTCCAGTTAAAATGGCTTTTATCCAAAAGACAAGCAATAATGAATACTGGTGAGGGTGTGGAGAAAAGGGAACTCTTATACACTGTTGGTGGGAATGTAAATTAGTACAGCCACTATGGAGAAAAGTATAGGGGTTTCTCATAAAACTTAAAATTAAACTACCATATGATCCAGCTATCCCAGTGCTAGATATATACCTAAAAGAAAGGAAACCAGTATACTGAAGAGATAGCTGCACTCCAATGTTTATTGCAGCACTATTCACAATAGCCAAGACTTGGAAGAAACAGACAAATGAATAAAGAAAATGTGGTAAATATACACAAGGGAGTACTATTCAGCCATAAAAAAATGAGATCCTATCATTTGCAAAAACACGGATGGAACTGGAGGACATTATGTTAAATGACAAAAGACAGACACAGAAAGACAAACTTCGCTCATTTTCACTTATTTGTGGGAACTAAAAATTAAAAACAGTTAAACTTATAGAGATAGAGAGTAAAATAATGGTTACCAGAGGCTGGGGAGGGTAGTGAAGGTGGGGGGCAGTTAGTGGGGATGGTTAATGGGTACAAAAATGTAGTTAGATAGAACTAATAAGATCTAGTATTTGATCACACAACAGGGTGACTACAGTTAATAATAATTTATTGCATATTTAAAAATAACTAAAAGAGTATAATTGAATTGTTTGTAATGCAAAAAAATGAATGCTTGAAGTGATGGATACCTTATTTATGCTGATGTGATTATTACACATTGTGTGCCTGTAAAAAAATCTCATGTACCCCATAATATATACACCTACTATGTACCCATAAAATTAAAAATTTTAAAAATGTAATCTATCAGAATAAAATCATTTAAAATACCTAATATCAATAAATAAAGCCAAAAAATGTAAATAACATTTGAAAAAAGATAATCAACAATTAAGAATACATCTTCTTCTCAAGATGGGACATTTATTAAAGTAACTATAAACTAGGCCCTTAAGTAAGTCTTACAAATTTCAACAAAATCTACCATACAAACCAAATTCTGACTATAACTCAATTAACATAGAAGTAAATATGAAAAGGTAAAATCTCCTATTTTCAGAAACATAAAAAGACTTCCAAATTACTCATAAGACAAAGAAATGATCAGAACAAGTAGAAATTACTTAAAAATGAGTATTAATGAAAATATTACATTACTCAAACATAAATTTAGCCAAAGCAGTAGTTGGAGAAAAATTTGAAAATTAATCTGCTAAGAGTCCAACATAAACATAATAGAGCCAAAGAAGATATAACAGAGGAAACAATAATGCATTAATATACATAAATGATCAGCAAAGCCATAAATTAGTTATTTGAAAGACTAATAAAACAGACAAATCTCTGGCAATACTGGTTAAGAAAAAAAGAAAAAGGAACTAACGATCATAAAATAAAAACAAAGAACTAAAAACGTTTTAGACTTTATATCTCTTTAGAGAGCTTTAATTTTTAAAAACCATTCAGCTGAATTAATCTACTTTAAGTGTCACATTAAAGGAAATACTACAACTAACTAGAGATTTAAAAATTGAGAGTATATGGGATAGAAGACATTGACAACTTTAAGGAGAATACAAAATAGAATAACATCAAAGAAATCAACAACCTGAATAGAGTTGAAAGCATAAAGTGAATTAGTAGTTGAAGTGCATGTACACACACAAATACACTCACTCACACTCACCATTTGACCCAGAGAGTTTTTACTGGTAACTGCTACCTAATAGACCATGATTCCAAACTTACGCAAAATTCTCCCAAAGAATGAAAAAAAGACAAAACACCTGCAATGCATTTTTGAGGCTAGGATAACCTTGACAACAAAACCCAAAAAAGCACAAAACAGACTAATTTTACTCATAAACACAGAACCTAAACCTCTAAAATGTTATCAAACCGAAATCCTAAATCTGGCAAAGTAGATTAAAACAATATATGAGGCTCAAGTTGGATTTATCCTAAGAATATTTAGGTGATTTAACATGAGAAAAACAATTGATGTAATTCTTCACATTAAAAAATAAAGGCAACTTCTGGGATAGAACAAAATTAAGTAGATGTATTTTCCTCCTGCTAAATACAACTAAAAACTCTGGCTATTTTATGAAAACAAACATTAAAAGATTCTGAAGGTGGAGATAAAAAGGAAGACTGGCTAGAAACTTCAGAACCCAGAGAATGACACAGCAGTAAGTTCCCTGGGTTTCTTTTTACCTCTTATACCCCGGACTGTGTGCTAGACAAATTAGCAAACTGTATCTACACTATAAATACAGGAACAACAAACTTGCTTTATCCTTCTCCTCTTGAGTGTTCTAAATTATCTTTGGTGGTGGAGAAAAAAAATTATAACACTGTCTAATGTGGTCCTATATGTATGTAGAGGAAATATTTAAAACAACTATGCTACACACACAGGGTAGAATAAAGGGACATAAAGAAAGGTAAGATTTTTAAACTTCACACTGGAAAATGATACCAGTAGACTGGTATAATATAATACTGCAACCACTGAAAAATCTATATAAAGAGATACACTAAAAAACAATATAAATAAAAATGGAATTCTAAAAAGTATTCAAACAGCCCCCTAGAAGACAGAAAAAAGAAAACAGAGAAACCAAGAACAGGGGGAACAAACAGAAAACTAAAAGTAAAATGGAAAGCCTAATGTATTTACCCATATTCTTGTTTACTGTATCCTTTCTTCCTGTTATTCCAAAGTTTTGTTGTTGTTGTTTGTTTTGAGACAGGGTCTCATTCTATTGCCCAGGCTAGATTGCAGTGGCATGATGGCACGATCACAGCTCACTGCAGCCTCAACTTCCTGGGCTTAAGTGATCCTCCCACCTCAGCCGCCCAAATAGGTGGGACCCACAGACGCATATCACCATGTCTGATTAATTTTTTGTATATTTTGTAGAGACAGGGTTTTGCCATGTTGCCCAGGCTGGTCTTGAACTACTGAGCTCAAGTGATCCGCTTGCTTTGGCCTCCCAGCCTAAAGTTCTTTCTTTTATCATTTCCTTTCTGCTTAACGAATGTTCTTTAACCATTATTTGAGGGTAAGTCTGCCGGCAACACATTTCCTTAGTTGTCTTTCCTGTGAGAAGGTCTTAATGTTTCCTTCATTGCTGAAGAATAATTCTGCTGTGTTGACAGTTATCTTTCAGCACTTGAAATATGTTTTACCACTTCCTCCTGGCCTCCATGGTTTCTGATCAGAAATCTACTGTCATTCAATTGCTTACTTGTAGGCAAGTTGTCATTTTTCTCTATTTGCAACATTTTTTCTTTGTCTTTATTTATTGGTTTAATTATCGTGCCTTTGGCATGAATTTATTTGAATTTTTCCTATTTGTGGTTTGCTCTGTTTCTTGAATCTGTTTGCTTATGTCTCTTGCTAACTTTGGGAAATTTTCAGCTGTTGAGTACTTTTTCAGTCCCACCTTCTTTCTTCTCTCCTTCAAGAATTCTGACAGGTGTCATCTTTTGTTATTGTCCCACAGGTCCCTGAGGCTCTGTTCATTTTTTAACAAGTCTAATTTCTCTCTGTTGTTCAGATTAGGAAATTTCTATTGTTTTGTCTTTCAGTTCACTGGTTCTTTCCACT